>NC_000009.12:39706969-39858484 GCF_000001405.40 Homo sapiens
TTTTTTCTTTTGGAAGGTACGTGACTAATACAGATTAGTACTGAGATTAGCGTGATTTAGTACTAACAGTGGTTCTAGAGAAACAAAATTTTAAGAATAAATTTCTTGAATTTGTTCTGAAGTTTCCAGAATTGGCTTTCTAATCTGATTAGAATTAAAGATGCTAGTGGTTCTGTTTCCAGTGGTAAAGAAAGCACTCACAGTACCTGGCGTGATTTGGCAACAGAAATATGCAAAATATCACCCTTGGATAGTCCTAATCAACTACTTACAAAAAGCATGGATATGGATGACTGTGTATATGGTACTTTCAAACATTTCCGACAAGCTATTGAATATAACAGTTCAGGACTGATTGTTCCTAATGGTGCTGGACAAAGTATAGAAAGAGAAAGATGAGCTTAACGATTAAAATTCCCAGCTCAAATGCTACCTAAATGATCTGAAAGCTTCTATGTGTGCCCTGAAGGAGACATTTATCTCCTGTAATTTCAGGTCTAAGATTGCTGAAAATGAAGCCCAGAAACTCATCCTGTGACTGGCTGAATTACAATGTAAGTTTGAACTCCCAGCCTTGTAGAGTATTTATGGGGAAAGTGAGGGCATTGATTGGGAAGGAATGGAATCTGAATATTGGAGTGGGGATGTGATGTGAAGGAAGACCTGGATGAAGCTGGAAACACTGAACCACTAAGTTCTTTTCTGCTGGAAGATGTCTCCCCAGCCCCAGGGGGAGCAGCCTCTCTACCCCCATTTGAAGAGAGTAACCTCTTAGTGACTGATGAAATTTTAGTGGCCTCCCCTGAGGAAGCTGCCATCAAGAAAATGCTGAATATTCTCAGGAACCATGCCTACCATCTTTCTTTGCTTCTGGATCTAGAACTAGACTCATCTCAGCGGGCCCCTAAAGGTGAGGTATAAAGTGTGGCCCATGAGGAGGTGTGCTACACTCTACAATAATTGTTTGAGTTTTTAAAATTATACAGACAGAAACCTAGGAAACATGTGAGAATGGATATTAAGTGTGAGAGATATTGGTGGAGGAACACCAACTTACCTCAGGCTGAAATTACTTTTACTAAGCATAGATTATACAGTTAATGTGCATCTCAGGAGTCAGAAAGGGCTCTAACACTTTCTGTGGTTGACTAAAGCCTAGACCAAAAGGTGGCCTACAGTGAGTAAGTTGGAAATGCCAGACCTGCCTTGGTTGAATGTATAGATACCCCTCTAGTTACTATAAGGTTACATCCCAATAAAGCTACCATAACTTGAAAATATTGCAAGTCAAACTGCATTTAATACACTTAACCTACCAAACATCATAGCTTAGCCTATCCTACTTTAAACATGCTCAGAACACTTACTTTATTCTATAGTTGAGCAAAATCACCTAACACAAAGCCTATTTTATAATAAAGTAATGAATAGCTGACCTAATTTATTGAATACCATACTGAAAGTGAAAAACAGAATACTTGTATGGGTACTAACCATTAATGTACACAGCTGAAAGTGCGCGGAGCCTGAAGAAAATTTGAAACATTGAACTAAAATTAATTGCTGGCTGATGGAGAGGTTATAGTGACAGGGTCATTGGTTTCTCTCTCTTCTGATGAAGCTTGAGAATGCAAAATGATACAATGGACTTTGGGGACTTGGGGGGAAAAGTGGGAGGGGGGCAAGGGATGAAAGACTACAAATATGGTACAGTGTACACTGCTTGGGTGATGTGTGCACCAACATCTCACGAATCACCACTAAGGAACTTACTCATGTAACCAAATACCACCTGTACCCCCAATAACTTATGAAAAATAAGAAAAAATTAAAACATTAAAAGTATAAAAAATAAAAACCACTGGCAACACAGCACACTCACAGTACGCAGCTGAGTATTGGTCATTTACCCTTGTGATGGTGTGGGTGGCTGGGATCTGTGGCTCCCTGCAGCTGCCCAGCATTGCAACAGAGTGTTATACAGCAGATCTAACCTGGGAAAAGATCAAGATTCAAAATTCAAAGTGTGGTTTCTACTAAATGTGCGTCACTTTCACACCATTGCAACAGGAACCATCTTAAAGGGGACCATCTGTAGAGGAAAGCATTCAAAGGCTTAGGGAGATCGGAATGTTAGAATAGATTTGCCATTTCAGATCTAACCACCCTCATTGGGAGAAAACAGAAGATGTACTTCTTTTCACTGCTATTGTGAGAAATCAATTTGTAAGGAGAGCCTAAGTGTCTCTGAAGAGCTTTGTGATTGCCAGACCTTACAGTGGAGAATGCAGTCACTGTTTGGAAAATCTAGACAATGGGAGTAATTGGATCCCAGGATGGCAGGAGCCAAGGGGTGGTACCAAAGTGAGAGTGGGTGTGGTTCCTGTAAGGGAGGCAGACTCAAGACAGCAATCAGAATCATCTCACTTGTGCAGATTTATGGTGTTGGTTAGTTGAGCATGATGGTTCTAGAGGTGAAATACTCTGGAAGTCTACTAAATTCTTACTTTCTCTGTATACATAAGGCTGTTCTTGCATTGCTATAAAGAAATAGTTGAGACTGGGTAATTTATAAGGAAAGAAGTTTAATTAGCTCATGGTTCTACAAGGAAGCATTAGCACTGACATCTGTTTCTGGGGAGGCCTCAGGATCATGGTGGAAGGCAAAGCAGGAGCTTCCATGTCACATGGTGAAAGCTGGAGCAAAAGAGAGAGAGTTAGGTGCCACACTTTTAAACAGCCAGATCTCATGAGAAGGCACCCACTGTCATGAGAACAGCACCAAGGGAATGGTGCCAAACCATTCATGAGAACTCCACCCCCATGATCCAGTCATCTTCCACCAGGCCCCACCTCCAATACTGGGGATTACAGTTCAACCTGAGATTTGGCTGGGGATATATATCCAAACTGTATCACTGGGTAAGCAGAAAATTCCTAGGTCAAGTGAATATAAGTTTAACCTAGACCAGAGTCACAACTCCTCAATCAATTCCCATATTAGAGCCAGTTTATAGCCCCAGAACCCCCTGGAGGGGAGGCCAAGTACTCTTGAGGAAGGAGCACCATACACTGCAAAAATAATTACACTGTTAAACTTCCTCACAACTTCCCCAAAAGTAAGGTACCATTTAGCAGGGTAACTATGCAACGGGGAAAAGGAAATAATCAGACCTATTAGAAACTACTGGACACTGGCCCTGAACTGACACTAATTCCAGGAGACCTAAACCCCCTCTGTGGGTCACCAGTCAAAGTAAGGACTTATGGAGATCAGGTGATTCAGGGAGTTTTATCCCATGTCTGTCTCACAGTGGTCCCAGTGAGTCCCGAAATCCATCCTGTGGTTATTTCTTGTTTCCAGAATGCATGATTAGAATAGATATACTCAGAAGCTGGAAGAACCCTACATTGGTTCCTTAACTTGTGTAAGGGACAAGGGTTATTATGGTGAGATAGGCTAAATGGAAGCCGCTAGAACTGTCTCTGCCTTGGAAAGTAGTAAATCAAAGTTAGTACTGCATTCCTGGAGAGGTTGCAAACATTAATGCTACCATTAAGGTTTTGAAATATGCAAGGGTGGTGATTCCCACCACATCCCCCATTCAATTCACCTATTTGAACTGTGCAGAAAACAAATGAATTTTGGAGAATGACAGATTACAGTAAGCTTAACTAGATAGTAACTCCAATTGCAGCTGCTGTATCAGATGTGGTTTCATTGAATAAATTAACACATCCTCTGATATGCAGCCATTGACATGACAAATGCTTTTTTTCCTCTGTATCTGTTCATAAGTCTCATTACAAGCAATTTTCTTTCAGCAGACAAGGCCAGCAATCCATCTTCGCTATCCTGCCTCACAGATATGTCAACTTTCTAGGCCGATGTTAAAATTTAGTTGGCAGGGATCTTGATTACCTTTTACTTCCACAAGATATTACTGGTCCGTTACACTGATGGCATTACTGGTAAGACATACATGTCAGGGAGTGGTTAATAAATCCAACTAAAATGCTGGGGCCTTCTACCTCAGTACAATTTCGAGAGGTCTAGTGATGTTGGGCACATCAAGATATTCCTTTTAAGGTGATGTTGCTTCTGGTCTCTCCTACAACGAAAAAAAGAGACTCAACACTCTGTGGACCTCTTTGGATTTTGGAGGCATCATACTCCTCATTTGCGTGTGTTACTCTGACCCATCTACTGAGTGACCTAGAAAACTGCTGCTTTTGAGTGGGACCCAGAATAAGAGAAGGCTCTGTAGCAGTCCAGGCTGCTGTGCAAGCTTCTCTGCTGCTTGGGCCGTATGATCTAGCAGATCCAATGGTGCTTGAAGTGCCAGTGGCAGATAGGATGGTGTTTGGAGACTTTGACAAGCCCTATAAGTGAGTAACAGCACAGGGCCTTAGAATATTGGAGCAAAGTCCTGCCATCTTCTGTGAATAACTCCTCTCCTTTTGAGAAACAACTCTTGGCCTGCTACTAGACCTTAGTAGATACAGAACTCGTAACCCTGGGCCACCAAGTTGCCATGTGATCTGAGCTGCATGTGATGAGCTGGGTGTTATCTGATTCACCAAGCTATGAAGCTAGGCATGCAGAGGAGCACTCCAGCATTTAATGGAAGTGGTATACACATGATTAGGTCTGAGCAGGCTCTGAGGCACAAGTAAGTTACATGAAAAAGTGACCCAAAAGCCCATGGTCCCCACATCTGCTACACTGACCTTTCTCTCGCAGCCTGCACTTATGGTCCCATGGGGAGCTCCCCATTATCAGTTGACTAAAGAAGAGAAGACTTGGGCCTGGATTACAGAGGGTTTTGCATAATATTCAGGAATCATCTGAAAGTGGATAGCTGCAGCACTGTAGCCCCTCTCTGGGACATCCCTGGACAGTGGTGAAGAGAAGTTGTCCCAGTGGACTCAACTTCAAATAGTGCACCAGGTTGTTCACTTTGCTTGGAAAGAACAAATGGCATAATGTGTAAACATAATTAGAAGATTGGTGACAAGGAAACCTGGGAAAGAGGTATGTGTGGGTGGACCTCTCTGAATGAGTGACAAAACCATGGTGATATTTGTGTCCCATGTGGATGCTCACCAAAGGATGACCTCAGCAGAGAAGAATTTTAAAAATCAAGTGGATAGGATGACCCATTCTGTGGATACCTATCAGCCTCTTTCGCCAGCCACTTCTGTCATCTCCCAGTAGACTCAGGAACAAAGTATCCATAGTGGCAGGATGGAGACTTAGCCTACATGGACTCCCACTCACCAAGGTCAACCTGGCCATGGCCACTGTGACGGTCCAGTATGCTTGCAACGCAGACCAACTCTGAATCCTTGATATGAACCTGGGGTAATAAGCCAGCTACCTGGTGACAGATTGATTACATTGGGCCACTTTCATCATGGAAAGGGCAGTGTTTTATTCTTACTGGAACAGACACTCTGGATATAGAATTGCCTTCCCTACATGCAATGTTTCTACCCAAGCTACCATCCATGGGCTTACAGAATGCTTTAACCACAGTCATTGTTTTCCATACAGCAGTGCTTCTGATCAGGGAATTCAGTTAACAGCAAAAGAAGTGCAGCAATGGGTCCATGTTCATGGAATTCATCGACTTTACTATGTTTCCTACCATCCTGAAGTAGCTGGTTTGGTAGAATGATGGAATGGCCTTTTGCAGACTCAGTTACAGTGTCAGCCAGGTGGCAGTACTGAGCTGGGGAAAGATTCCTCAGGAGTCTGCATGCTTTAAATCAGCATCGAAAATATGATGCTGTTTCTCCAAAAGGCAGAATTCACAGGTCCAGGAATCAAGGGAAGAAAGTGGGAGTGGTCTCACTCACCGTTATTCCTAGTGACCTACTAGCAAAATGTTTGCCTCTTGATCCTACAACTTTATGATCTGCTGGCCTAGAAGTCTGTTTCAAATGAAGGATTGCTTCCACCAAGAGACACAACAATGCCTTTATAGAACTGGAAATTAAAACTGTTACCCAGTGGCTTTGGATTCCTCATGCCTGTAAATCAACAGGCAAGGAAGAGAGTTACTGGGCTAGTTCTGGTTATTGATCTTAACTGGCAAGGGGAACTTGGACTCGTACTTCCAAATGGAGATAAGGAAGGGTGTGTCTGCAATATATATACCCTTAGGGTGTCCTTGGGATTATAATATTCTGTAATTATGGTCAATGGAAAATGACAACCACCTAATCCAGGCAGGACAACTAATGGCCCAGACCCTTCAGGAATGAAGCCTTGGGTCATCCCAACAAGGAAATAATCACGACCAGCTGAGGTGCTTAGTGGAAGAAGTGAGGTGCTTAGTGGAAGAAGGTAGCTATAAATACCAGCTATGACCACATGACCAGTTACAGAAATCAAGATTGAAATTGTTATCAGCATTTCCTCCTTTTTTGTTATGAATACATACAAATGTGTGTGGGTGCATTAAGCAAATATTATTGTTTTTCTGCTGTCTTATTCCCTTATAAGGGATGTATTGACTATATCATTGCATTTAAGTGTTGTTGATTTTATATTATAACATTTAAGTTGCAGGATATCAAGGAGAAAAGTAAACATCATTCGAGGATTATACCTCCTTTTCTGGGGAAGGGGTAGGTGTGTCTTCAGTGGTACATGGGATGATGATATATTAGACAGAAGCATGGCCTTGCTATTTTCTTTATTTGGAGATTAAGTATAGTTTAAGGAGATGTGTATGGATGCCAAGTTGACAAGAGGTGGACTCGCGATGAATAATTTCATGTGGAAATTTGACTATGTCATGAGGTGCCCAGATGTTTAATGAAACATTATCCCAGCTATGTCTGTGATGGTGCTTTTGGATGAAATTAACATTTGAATCAGTAGACTGAGTAAAGCGAGCTTCTCTCCCTAATGTGAGTAGTCCTTACTCCATCAGTTGAAGGCCTGAATAGAACTAAAATTACTCTGACCTTCCAGTAAGAAAGAGAAAACTCCTGCCTGACTGTTTGAACTGGGTCATGACTTTTTTCTTGTCTTCAGACTAAACTGAAATATTGGCTCTTCTTGGATTTTGAGCCTGCCAGTTTTCAGACTGGAACTTCCACCATTGACTCTCGTGGTGCTCAGGCCTTCAGACTCAGACTGGAACTCTCCCATTGGCTCTCCTGGGTCTCCAGCTTGCCAACTGCGAACTTGACTTCTCAGCCTCCAGAATTACATAAGCTAATTACCTATAGTAAGTCTTTCTCGCTCTCCCTCTGTCTCTGCTATTGGTTCTGTTTCTCAGGATATTCCAGATAGTACAGTCACCTCTGGCTGAGAATTCCAACTTCTTCACTTTATAGATTATTCTTTCTCTATGATTCAAACATCCTATCTCATAAATAAGATTTATTTTCTCCCTCAATTTTCACCAAAAAAAGACACATATACATGTAACCCATTAGTTTATTTTCAATAACCTTACAGAAGATATGGAGGTGTAACAAAAATTACTGTAAACATAAGCCTTATATTCTTTCTTTTTGTTTTGTTTTGTTTTTTTTGAGATGGAGTTTCACTCTTGTTGCCCAGGCTGGAGTGCAGTGGCGCAATCTTGGCTCACCACAACCTCCACCTCCCGGGTTGAAGCTATTCTCCTGCCTCAGCCTCCTGAGTAGCCGGGATTACAAGCATGTGCCATTACATCTGGCTAATTTTGTATTTTTAGTAGAGATGGGTTTCTCCACGTTGGTCAGGCTGGTCTCGAACTCCCGACCTCAGGTGATCCACCCGCCTTGGCCTCCCAAAGTGCCGGGATTACAGGTGTGAGCCACTGCACCCAGGCCAAGCCTTATATTCTTTAAAAGTTAATTCCCCACTGCTTGGCCAGCTAATTCCCTCTGAGCTTCTCTAGCATGATCCTGGCTCTCCTTCCTGCATCTCCCTCCTTCCCGCATCTCCCTCCTTCCCCTCCCTTCTCTTCTGTCTTTTCTCTTCTCAGGAGCAAAAACTAAATTGGTCTCCTTTTCTCACACAAGATAGTTTTGGTGCCCCCTTTGCTGCTTTAACTCCTGCCAATGGGCATAACTTTGAAGTTTCAATTTTATCCCAAGCAGCTCATCAAACTAGTACTTCAACATTAGGAATTCTTCTGTAATAGGAATTCTAGTGCCAGCTATTCAAGTTATAAACATCTCAATCTCTGTCACAATCAAAATAACTGCCATTGACTGAGAACTCATGCTCCAATCACTGTTATGATGTGCTTCACTGACATTCTCTCATGTTCTTACAGAAACACCACATAGTCATGCTTTTTCTAACTGTGGCAGATGCTGCTGTGTTTCTAATCAATATCCATTTTCTTCTTCTTTTAAATTAAAGGGTGCTGCTCCATTCAGTCCCACTTTACTAGGCCTCTGCATTGCACCCCCGCATACTATTGTTGGTAGCTAAGGGCTCACAAGTGCCCTGTTCTCTCCTGAGCACTTCTTCAGACTTAAGGGAGCTGCCTCGCCTGGACAACCTGTAGCCAGTGACTGACTGACACATGGTATAAAGGGCTATTCCTCTAGCCTCAACGTCAGGCCAACTCTGTAATGCAATCCATGCTCCAAAACTCTGGGTGTCAGGCTGAGCCAGTCTTGTGCTGAGATCATCCTGGCTTAGATAGATCTCATCTTTGTCTCACCCTACTTACTATTCCCCTCTCATAAGGTTATTCTCTCAAGAAAAGTTGCTCAATAATTGCTATTGCAGGCTCTGCTTCTAGAGAGCCCTACCTGACAGATTGACTGCGCTGCAGAAAAAGCAATGAAGGCCATTAACAGAAGGAAACCAATTAGGGTATCACTGGAGCCTGGGTGAGTGGCGACCTAACAAGAGCTCACTCCAAAATGGTAGCAGTGGACACAGACAGGAGTTGGATCAACCAGTTCATTTGTTTTCCATAATCATATTTTATTTTCCTTGTAGCAATTATCACTCTCTGCTATTATAGCATTTTGTGTCTTTTAAAGTTTCTTTGTTTTTTGTTTTTGAGATGGAGTCTTGCTGTGTTGACTAGGCTGGAGTGCAGTGGCATGATCTCCACTCACTGCAACCTCTGCCTCCCAGGTTCAAGTGAGTCTCCTGCCTCAGCCTCCCAAGTAGCTGGGATTACAGGCACGTGCCACCACACCCGGCTAATTTTTTTAGGGGCGGGTATGTCTAGTCCAGACAGGGTTTCACCATTTTGCCCAGGCTGGTCTCAAACTCCTGACCTCAAGCAATCCACCCACTTCTCCCTCCCAAAGTGTTAGGATTACAGGCATGAGTCACCACGCCTGGTCTCCTTTAAAGTATTTTTAAATATTTACCTTGTTAAAAGTTTTTATCTTCCTTTAAAGAGATATAAGAATGAGGGCCTTTCTTAGGTACTATCATATTCTTTCTGCCCCTAAAACAGTGCTGGCAGACAATTCATGCAAAATACATATTTGTAAATAAGTGAATGAAAAATGAATGGAAGAAAAGTGATTGAGATTAGCTTGAGGCCTATGTGGGATTGAGGGAGCTGATTAGGTTATAAGTTGAGAGAGATCTAGAAATATCAAAAGAACTCTGGAGAATGATCTGTTTGGTATAATAAATTATATACTGGGAACTCAGGAGAGATACTATAAGGCCTAAGACGGTATTTGGGTGACTAAGCCCTTCACTTTAAAAGCTCAGTGTAGTACTTTATGCAAAACCTTGAAACTTACCGTATTTCTTTTTGGCATTTTGGGTGATGCTTAAGAATGTTAAATAATGAAAGACTCTTTGTGTTACCTGTACTGTGTGTGTATTAGAATTGTAACCTATTTCAGTTTTCGTCTCATCACCAACAAGCTTTTCAAAGTAGTAGAAACTACTTTTTCAGAAGGTGAAGTAATGCTGTTTTGTCCAGTGGGTGATTACTTGCTGTGAATACTTAGTGATCATCAGGCTTGGAAACATGCGTAGGTGTGTATAATAAATGAGACCGCTACTACCTGTTAATTGTACTTTATAATTGCAGTTTATCTCCTCTGTACACCTGCAGAGTCCTGGCTCATATCACAGAGAAAAGGTCGTTACTGTGGCTTGACTGAGAGAGCTCATTTATTAAAGCTCTAAGGGGTTGTATTATCAACTTCATCTCATGTCTTTCTACATTATCTAATATTCTCCATTCAGATGTACACAAAAAATATCCATCTTTTAATGCGTAACTGATGTACATATATGCTGTTATCGTTATTGTTAAAGAACTTTAGTTATTTAAAGTTAGTAAATTAAAGTTATTGTTATGGTTATGCTGTTAAGTTATTGATGGTTAAATCAACAACTTTTAGGCAACAAATTGGTTGATCGCTTATTGTTGATTTTAGGCAGTTGCCAAGCAATATTAATGTCCTAACATTAAGATTAATGGAGTGTATCATTCATTGACTTGATCATTTCCCTCCCATTTCTATTGCCCTGTCCCTTGGGGTGCTGGCATTGGGTTCGTATGTGTGCAATCGAATCTTTTCCGTGGCAGATGCTGAGGAGCAAGTCCTGACAGTGAATAGCCATGTGTTTAGTCAGCTGTTTACACAGGCTCAAGGAAATGAGAATTTTATGGAAAGTTGATAAGACATCTCACTACTTTCAAATTCATTTTAGAAAAGTATAGTATGAGAAGAAGAGCTTCGACAAATATTGTGTCTAAAAAGCTAAAAACATCCTGATCTTCGTAACCGAGTGGCTAACAAATAAAGAAACTCACACAACGCTCAGTTAAAGGAGTCAAAATAAACTGTCATAGAATACACATCATGATGAGGTCTTATTTAGCAATATTATATTCCCTTTAACTGCATTTGTAATGTTGACTTAAATGGGAGAATACTGCATTCCTTTGCCTTTTCCTCTCTCTGAAGGTTTTGAGAGAAGAAACAGAAGAAGTTGTAGAAAATCAACTCTGCTTCCTTTTACTAATTGTGAATATAAGCTCACCGTACTCTGGAGTGAAAATAAAAACAATGTTTTAGTTGATTGTATCTACCAATGCCATCTACTCCACATTCTTGCTTTAATTGGTAGCTTATTTTAAGAAAACACTATGACTTCTTTGTAGAAAATGTACTTTAAGATCCCAGAAGCATTTAATTCCTCAGGAAAACTTATCAGGATGTCATATAATGATTAAAAAGACGTTCAAAATCAGTAATTTTCATCAGCTGATCTGCTTTCTTGGTATTTTATACTGTAATACCCTTTACTATATGTGATCTCTGAATAGATAAGTCAGCTTTCAATGCTCACAGTTTTTAACATAGAGTATTTTTTTTAAACTTTGAGTATTTTATAGATTAGGGACAGTGACTTTCACTGAATGAAACTATACTTACTTCTGGTATAAAGAGAATATATACTCATCTACACATGCTCCACTTTGCACTACAGCTGAAGGACTCTGAAAGCACACCGCTCTGGGTTTTAGCTCCAGGGCATCCCGTGGGTGGGTCACTGAGCAAAAGCATTATAGGACATCCCGTTCTACAAGGAATGAGGACAAAGCCCAGGCTTTTCTAGAAAGTTCCTCTATATATCAAGATACTGCATTCTTAGCACATTCTACAGTTATTCTAAAACTGTAAGCCAGGAAATGGGGAAGGGGAGAAGAAAGCTGGGTCCGCTGAGGCCATCTAGGGGCCAGTCCTCCTCCAGAGGCCGTTAAATTGGTCCAGGAAAGAGAAAAATATGGCTTTGATCAGGGTGGTGACAATGGAGTTCTTAATCAGTGGTAGGGTTTTTGATAGGTTTTGTAAGTGTGATAGAACCAATAAGATTTCTTTCTAGACTGGATGTAGAGTGTGAGAGAAGAAGAGTGGTGATCCCAAAGTCATTAGCTTGGGCACCAGATGGAATTGCCATCAACGGAGATTAAGGAGGAATGATTTGTCCCTTAAATTGCACAGTTGTAGCAATAGATGAGTTTACTAGGAAATAAAACATGTGTTTGCAAAGGACTGGTCTATTTCCTTAAGAAAACAGAAACTAGGCCGGGCGCGGTGGCTCACGCCTGTAATCCCAGCACTTTGGGAGGCCGAGGCGGGCGGATCACGAGGTCAGGAGATCGAGACCATCCTGGCTAACACGGTGAAACCCTGTCTCTACTAAAAATACAAAAAATTAGCTGGGCGTCGTGGCAGGCGCCTGTAGTCCCAGCTACTCGGGAGGCTGAGGCAGGAGAATGGCATGAACCCGGGAGGCAGAGTTTGCAGTGAGCCAAGATCGCGCCACTGCACTCCAGCCTGGGTGAGACAACGAAACTCCGTCTCAAAAAAAAAAAAAAAAAAAAAAGAAGACAGAAACTAAAATATTAGTGCTCATTTTATGCCTGTCTTTGTCAAAACACTAGGACATTAAATAACATGTAGGGCAATACAAACCAAAAATGTAATAAGCATGCAATGCCCATATCCTCCACCCCAGTAAAATAATTCATGTATTCAGCTTGCATCCAAATTATTTATTATTATTATTCTGCCAAAGTGTTTCACACAGGTTGCCATTTTAAATTTTGTTTTTGATGAAATGTCTGTTGAAATGCTCCTTTGGAGAAATGACTGTACTTTCTCTTGATTCCTTGACTAAATTTTCACAGAATCGTTTGATCGGAAACTATATAGAAATGTGTTCACTATTATCCATTAGAGTTTATTAAGCAATGAAAGAAATGAAGGCATAAGGATAAAACGTCTGCTCAAATTTCTGAGCAGTCACTTTCTCATTAGAGCTCTTGTATTTGGGGACTCTAATGTGGAAATACCGTGAGAATTTAAAGAACAAATAGTACATCCTCCTCCCTTAGAAGGTATCAGAATTTTTAATTTTTATATTATATTGTATTATATTATATTATATTATTATTATATTGTATTATATTATATTATATTATATTATTGTATTATATTATTATATTATATTATATTATATTATATTATATTATATTATATTATATTATATTTTAAGACGGACTCTAGTTCTGTCACCCAGGCTGGAGTGCAGTGGCGCCATCTGGGCTCACTGCAAGCTCCGCCTCCCAGGTTCACGCCATTCTCCTGCCTCAGCCTCCCATGTAGCTGGGACTACAGGCGCCCGCCACCACGCCCGGCTAAATTTTTTTGTATTTTTAGTAGAGACGGGGTTTCACCGTGTTAGCCAGGATGGTCTCGATCTCTTGACCTCGTGATCTGCCCGTCTCAGCCTCCCAAAGTGCTGGGATTACAGCTGTGAGCCATTGCGCCCAGCCCAGAAATTTTTTTTAATGGTGAATCTTAAATGGTGAATTTAGATAATAACCTAAGATAATTTTGTAGAAATGCAAAATTTGCAAAATAATTTCTGATCATAAAAGGAGGATAGGTGAAAGCTTATCCCAGGTGGTGTCTGACCTGCTCTTGTATGTCTGGATTTTCACACTAGAGTGCAATGATGTGGCATATCCACTCTGATTTTTGCAAGTTTAAGAAGTTACTTTAGACACATTGTAATGTTTCTTTAAGCATATTTCACTCCCATAAATGGGGTAACAACAGTCCATATTAAAGTTAGTAATATATTACAATTAAAGTGTCTAATTCTCAGATCCTTTGTAACACATGGGCTACAATAAATCACATACAAAAAAAGTCTTAAATTATTAGAATCTATTATGTAAAAAGTGACTAAGAGAATCATGCTAGTTTTCAATTTATTGCCTCTGATCTCCAAATGCAGTCTTCAATACATGTTCTGTACTAATGGACATCTTTAAGCATTTCTGCTTACCAGTAAGGATACCAGTAAGCAGAAAGAAGACTGTTCTGCTCTTTCCAGCTGCTGCATGGTGTGCCAGCAGTGTGGGTATGAGAACATCTGGTGTCATTCTGCCCCAGTGACATGTTCAAAATACACCACCCCTCAGTCCTAGCCTGTCCTAGTGACCACCTTCATGCAGCCCTCTTGAGAGAGACGCTATGTGGTCCAGGTCTCTTGCCCACACTGCCACCCTGATTCCCTCTGCCTGCTTGTCCCTACCTTCCAGACTTGTCTTGTGAGGTCCCCCCGATGCAGCGGCCCTCCTCTCAGGGTTACCATATGCTCTAAGCTTTGTGCTGCACTGGCATTGCAGGGAAGTTTACATTTTCCCACTGAAGTTTTGATAATGTAAGCCTATGAAACAAACTGAAAATAGGCAGATTAACAGAAGAAAAGGCATACAAATTTATTAACATGCATATGGGCTTGGGTATCACATACAAAGTATTAATAAACTCAGAGCGAGGGTCAGATGGTTGAAGTTTGTATGCCATCTCGAGGCTACAGAAAGAATGGCAGCTCAGAGCATGGCCAAAACCAGGTTATGGTGGTGAATCAAGTTATGGTGGTGGGACATGTTATGGGAGGGAGAGAAGAGGAGGCCTAGCAGCAAAGCTGGTCTTGTTATGTAGCTGAAACCTCACAGGTAGCAGCCATCACAGAAAATAGATGGTAAATGTTTCTTTGAGAAGTTTAAAGGTGTCAGACTAGACTCAGATGAGGAAGGGCCCCAGAGAAACCTGGCTGTATCAAGGCAGATTCTCTATGGATGCAAACCTCCCTCCTGAGGAAAGACAACTTTTCAGGGCTACTTCTATTTGCAGACCCTCTGAACAGCCATCTCAAAAGATGTCAAAGAAGGATATTTGGGGGTGAAATGTTTTGATTTTCTTCACAGGCATACATTTTACATGGCAGAATCATAATAAAGTATAATTAAATAAAACTAAAGTACAAGTATAATTAAAGTGAATACCTAGTCCTATAACAGATACATTCCACAAAAATGTAATGATTAACACCAGGGGCAGTTATATTTCAAGCTCATGCTTCTCAGCTTGTCTGTTCTTGTAGCAGTGTAGGTCAAATCAGAAGATAAAAACCATAGAGTGATTTCAACAGAAATTTAATATAAAGAATTATACCATGATAAAAGATTAACTATAGGATATAAGTGAACTCTATAAGTTAATCTAGAGCTGAGGGAAGATACTCAAGGAAGAACGAACTTGGAAAGAGAAGCCCTTCCCCAAAGCTGTAGTTAAGACTTTATTGGAGAAGGTGTTTTATCCTGCTGAATTACAGAGAAGTCTATCTGTTTACCTGGGTCAGAGCGGGCCTGCAGTCACAGGTGAAGCCGAGCTATGGACTGAATTGCAGCCCGTCCCAATTCATAGGTTAAATCCCTAGCTGCCAATTTGGCTACATTGGAGATACAGTCAAATTGTAGGTTAGGGATTTAACCTATGAATTCGGACGAGCCGCAATTCAGTCCATAGCTCAGCTTCACCTGTGACTGCGGACCAGGTTAAGCCAAGCTATGGACTGAATTGCTATGACCTGAATTCATTTAGACTACATTTGGAAGTAATTAAAGTGACATTAGGTAATTAAAGTTACACCCCATCAGATTAGGTTGGGCCCCTAATCTGATAGGATTGGTGGCTTTTTATGAAGCCTATAAAACAAACTGATTATAGGCAGATTTTTTAAAGGCATATCCATTTATTAATGTGCATATGGATTTGGGACTCATATGCAAAGTATGAGGCTCAAAGCAGGGGTCAGATGGTTGAAGTTCTCTCTCCCTCTCTCTCTCTTTCTCTCTCCTTATACATACAGTTAAAGAAGGCCATGTGAGAACACAGCTAGAAGGTGACCATCTACAAGCCAGGAAGAGATCTCTCACCAGAAACCAACTGGCCAAAACAACATAACTTTGGACTTCCCAGCCTGCTGAACCGTGAGAAAATAAATTTCTGTGGTTTAGGCCACCTAGTCTATGGTACTTTGTTATGGCAGTTCAAGGAAACATATACAAGCAGGAAATAACTCTCTGGAATGAGGATGGGGTGCAGGTAAGCAATAGCGAGTGGCTGGGTGCCTGATATACAAAAGGAGTAAAGGTATACAAACCTTTCCTTTGCTAAAGGAAATCAAAAATATTTCACCCCAAAACATAGTTCTTTGATGTGTCTTGAGGTGGCTATTCAGAGGGCCAGCAGACAGGAATAGTGCAGAAAAGCTGACTTTCGTGGAGTAGATTTGCATCTGTGCAGAAAATCTATATAGGTGAAATAAACAGCCAGGCTTTCTCTGAGATTCCCCTTCTGCAGCATGGTATACAGGCTTCTGAACCCCACTAAGGTATTGACAATCACTCTGTGATTCTCTTTGTGCACACTAATAAATTTGCATGCCATTTCTCCTGTTAATTTACCTTTTTTGAGTTGATTTTTCAGCAAACCTTCAGAGGGCAAAGGGGAAGCTTTTCATTGGCCTCTACACCTGGTTTCCACTTGATTAATTGGCCTCCTGAAACTGCCCAGCTGTTCGAAATGATTTATGCATCTATGTGGCATGGATCACTTCACTATGTCCAGTACTAACCTAAGCAATGCAGGCTCTTGCCCATTCGAGGTGAGACTCTAATAAAGCATGAACATTGTCTAAGCCACCTAAAACTTTCATAGAGAAGATAGTCGTTGATTTCACATATTGGTTCACAGAAAAAAAGAATGGGACCATTATGTATAATTAACCTTACCATTATTATCATCTGAGAAGTCTTTTTCTATATTTTAAAGTAAATGTCAATTTAGATAGTGAGAACTATAAACTACATTAAGTTGAAATGAAAATGCTGACCATATGTTAATAACTTCATGTTAAGGAAATATATGCACTCGCTGAGAAAGTCTACCATTTTATGATATCATGAGCAATTAAATATTTTGAATTATTTTTCATTTTATATATATACTATTTGCATTTTTTGGTTTGCTTATAATATTCTCTTTATATACAACCCCCAAAATAAAAATAATTTGGAAAGACATGAAGAAGATGCTACCTACCACCAAGAAACTACCACCAAGATATCAAAGATAAACAGAACCAATATTTTGCTGAGCAGCCTTCCATGTATTTACATGTCCATACACATGGACTTAGGACTAAATAAATTGTCACTAGTGGAATCACACTGAATCCTTGCTAGATCATGCTAGGCCATGAGTGAAGGACTTATATATTGAGAAATAAAGAGAATCCTAAGCCCCCCACTTGACTGAACAGACTTCCTCTTGGTCAAAGGGACCAGAGGTTTTTAAGGTTTCTCTAGAGAATGGCTAACGACCATTAGGCTTTCTTCCCTAAGGGTGAAGGCAGAAACCAGCCCTTTCAAAAGTCTTGCCCAGTGATTTCAGCCAACTGCCTGACACTTGTCCTCCCTCTTGCAGCTTTAACACAGAAACTGACCAGCATTCCTTCCCAATAAGAGACCACCCACCACAGCATGGCTCTGGCTGGTCTACAAAGGCTGTGTACTAAGTGCCTTCGTATCCTCCACTTCACCTTTTGATGTACAAGGCCTAACTGAAATACACTTAAATGCTATGTCTCCACCCCAAAGTGAACATGGGACACATGTTACATACATGTTAGCCTTTCTTATTCCTCCCTCCCTGGAAGCACTTATTTTCTGCTCAGTTCAGAGGTTCAGAGTTTCTGCGTCCTGCCTGCGGGTTGTGGTAACCTGCTTTAGAAATATAGCCCTCTTCCCAAATATATGAACCATGATTCTTCAAGTGGACAGAATGATTTATGGACTTCCATAAGCATGTGCATGGTGGGCTCACAGTACACATTTCTGGAATCACTGAGTAAATGCTATCGACAAACTGTATTTTTTCAGGTTAATATTATGTCATGGAGACATCCCAATTCATCAAGGTGGCTGGCTAAGATAACTTAACAACAACACCCAACTTTTGTAATTAGAAACACCTAGAGACACTAGAAAATACATAACAATTCTCCTTTCCATACTCTGTATTTAGAGTTGGGTGTTGATAGCATTGCAGATATCAGAGATAAAGCCTTTGACCTTTGTGATATAATGAATGGGAATACAGATGCCTGCACCCAGCCAGCACATAGAAAATAGGGCACATTCAAACAGTAGACTGATTTTTTTAAAGAGAGAAAGGATAGGGAACTTTGCTATTCTCTAGGTGAAAACAGAAATTTCTCCTTAGAAATAAAGCACTATACTTATTCCTTGCAGGTATTTAGAGACTAAATATACATAATCAGCTTTGTAAGTACTTAAAATGCTTAAAATAATACATTATTATAAAGTAAGAAGTAATAATAAAATTCACCTTTATGCATATAAAAAGCCTCAATACATATGATGTAAAACTTGACAAAATCATGATAAGTGAACAGATATTCCAGAGAGACAGTTTAAAATACCTCACTCACTGTGGGGAGGGGACAAGTTATTTAATGGATGTAGTTTCTGTTTCACAAGATGAAAAACTTGTGGAGACTGGTTGTGTTCTGAATGCGAATACACTTAACACTACTGAATTGTATTTAAAAATGGTTAAAATTGTCATTTTATGTTGTATTTTGCCACAATTAAATAATACTTCCCTCAGATACTGGTTGAGCAATAAACCAAAAACAAAATCTCAAAATAAGGATATTTGAAAACACTATTTATGAAAATTTTATGAAAAGGGTATTAACAGATCATAATACTCAAAAATGACAAAAAATGCTTTCCTTTCAAGTTGATATGAAACACTTATAAAAATTGCAGTGTACTAGGCCACAGCAAGTATCAATAAATAATAATCATCGGGCCAGGCGCAGTGGCTCACGCCTGTAATCCCAGAACTTTGGGAGGGCTAGGTGGTCAGAACACGAGGTCAGGAAATCGAGACCATCCTGGCCAACATGGTGAAACCCTGTCTCTACTAAAAATACAAAAATTAGCTGGGTGTGGTGACACGTGCCTGTAATCCCAGCTACTCAGGAGGCTGAGGCAGGAGAATTGCTTGAACCCAGGAGGCAGAGGTTGCAGTGAGCTGAGATGGTGCCATTGCACTCCAGCCTGGCAATAGAGTGAGACTCCATCTCAAAAAAAAAAAGTAATAATAATAATTAATATGATCATATTCTTAGACCACAATTTGACAACATAGATTTTGTTAACCAGAAGATCACAATATACTATACTTTGTGAAATTTAAAAATACATTTGAAATAAGAAAATGAAGTTATGTTTAGAACAGAATGGCAATAAAAACACTACATATCAAAGCTTGTATATGTTTGGTGCAACTAAAGCATTCTTTAGAAGGTGGTTTGTATTTGTAAATATATTTATTAGTAAAGAGAAAGCCTAAAAAAATATCAGTGGGGTAGGTAACTCCATCAGAAGGGAGACTCCATACATAAGACTACTTACATGACTACAGAGTTATATAAGAAAGACAAACAGCTCAAAATGTAGAAATAGCCAAATTATAAGGGAACCCAGTGCATGAGATGTTCTGTTTCAGGTCCATTGGGAAAGAATGGGCAACTCTAAATATTAATGGTACTGGGACGTTAGTTACAGATGAGAAAAAATATAAAATTGGACCCCTACCTGTCACTGGACACAAAAAAACAAATGTAAGTTCTAATGAGTTAAAATAAAAAATAAAAAACTTTAAAATTCAGAAAATATGAAGAAATAGTTTATACCTTCCAGTGGACAAGGATTTCATACCCAAAACACAAAACTATGAAGTAAAACATTGGTTCATTTTACAACAATAATATTAACATTTTAGTTTATCAAAAGACTTTATAAAAAGGGAATAGAAGCCATTAGCGGAAAGGAGATGATTTGCAACACCTATGAAAAAGGAGTAGTGTTTATGGAATATGAAGAATTCATACAAATCAGAAGAGAAACGAATACAAAACTGGACAAAGGAAACATATAACCTGGCATTTCATAAACAAAGAAAATCATATTACTTATAAACTTAACAAAGATGCTCCACCTCCACATGTGGAAGTCAAGAACAACTGAAGTTCAGCAGAACACCCTGAAGTCAAGATTTTGTCGTGTGTATGTGTGTGTGAGAATGTGTGTATATTTTTTATGTTCTGAGTCTGCATATTTTATTGTATACTTTATGGACATTTTCCCATGTCATTAAGTTAAGAGAAAAGCATTGATGACTCATTCAACATATATTTAGCGAGTTGTTACCATGTGCAGTATAGTTTTCTAATTACTGGAGCTAGATGAATGAACGAAATAAAAACAAAAATCTCTGCCTTCATGAAGATTCTATTCTGGGAAAGGCAGACCATAAACAAGAAAAATATAGTATATTAGACAGTGATGAGTGTTAAGAAGCAAAGTAAAATAGAAGGCTAAAAAGCATTGGTCGGGGGAGTGAAAATTTTGAAGTTCAATATGTGAGTAAAGTTCTAACTGAATCAATCAGCCATACATAGGAATATTGTACAATTCAATCATCTCTCCATGGTTCAATATTTAGGTATTTCTATACTTTGACATTGTAATAAAAGAAAGTGAAAACACTGTCACATGTCTTTGCCAGTGTCTCCAATTATTACCTTAGAAAGGTTTCTTTTTTTTTTTAATCTTTTTAATTTTTTTCTTAAGACAGTCTTACTCTTGTCGACCAGTCTGTAATGCAGTGGCATGATCTGAAGGAAGTTGCCAATGACAATAAGACAGTTCACTCAAATGTTACCTCTAGAGGCAGACAGTAATTCCTGCCACAAATATATTTTAAAATCCTAAATTTATTGTTAAAGATCTGGTAATGGTTAGCACAGTAACAGAGATGGAAGGGGAAAGAAACATATCAATGAGATGTTTTTCTATAAACAATATAGACAAAGAGAATCAAATATTCTGTTACATTAGACATCACAGCCACTCATGTAATCTCAATGTATGGTTCTATACGGAAAGAGCAGCTGATTTCGGAAAACACATCCCCCCAAAAAGCTGTCTAAAGCAGTAGAAAGGAAATCTTTGAGCCACCAAGTTGTAAACTGAAGAGCTCCCCAAAGGCTCATGACATACGATACTGTATCTGGTCCTAAGTCCAGCAGCTTGCCACCTAAAAGCCAGAGTCAAGACATGGATGGGTGGAAGGAAAAAATGGTTTTAATCAAGGTGTGAGAGCGGCAGGAAGGAAGATAAAGAGAGTGGATGACTGAAGTATATTTTTAAAACTGAGGTCCTTAGTTACAATACCGTTGAGAGTGTGGGGGAATAAGGCTGGAGGGATGACCAGCTTCAAAGGAGGCTGCTCACAGGGTTTCCTATGTGAGCGCTGCAATCTGCAGTTATGTAACTTGGAGGATTAAGTGGGGCTGGAAACAGGAGGATTTATTGAATGTCTGTTTTAGTGTTTTAGGAGTGGTTGAAGACGGCCCCACATGTCCATTTCTGTATAAAGGACAAAATATTCATTTTCCATAGAGGATAAAACAGAGAGTCTCTGGACTGGAGACCACGGAGACCAATTGAGGAAAGGGTACAATATTGAAAACAAAGTACACACTGAAAATTGAGATTCGCAGCTTTTCTCATTTCTAGCTTTTAGGATGCTGACAACAGGGCTTCCTTCCTCCAAAAAGAGAAATAAATAAATCAATAAATATTCATCTGTGGGGATTAGACCAGGTCAGTAAAGGTAAGCCAAAAAATCCTGACATTGGTCTGGCACAGGGGCTCACGCCTATAATCCCAGCACTTTGGGAGGCTGAAGCGGGCGGATCACGAGGTCAAGAAATCGAGACCATCCTGGCCAACATGGTGAAACCCCGTCTCTACTAAAAATACAATAATTAGTTGGGCATAGTGGCACGTGCCTGTAGTCCTAGCTACTCGGGAGGCTGAGGCAGGAGAATCACTTGAACCCGGGAGGTGAAGGTTGCAGTGAGCCGAGATCGCGCCACTGCACTCCAGCCTGGTGACAGAGCGAGACTCTGTTTCAAAAAAAAAAAAAAATCCTGACATTAGGCATTTCCCCCAAAAATAGATCTAATAGCAAAATAATGGTCCTAGTGGTGAGTTTCCAACACTAAATAACTAGAGGGATTTCAGGGCAAGCATGTGGGGCTTTGACTAGTAAGTAAAGACTAGTAAGTAAACCCTGGATTTAAATCACAATGTGAGTTCTGGAGATCTCACAGTGTGAGTTCTGGAGAGCTCTGAGCAGTGGAGAGATGGAAGAGGCTTCATGGGAGACTCATCCAGCCAGGAAAGAGAACTTTAGAAGGTTGAGCCTGAAAGCAGGGAGCTCACTGCGGAGGTGAGAGGGGTTGGGGGTCGGGGGGGCAGGGGGGAGGGAGGGGAGGTTGGCATTCAGTCCACAGGGCTCCTGGGTTTTTCTGAACCTAGAGACTTCCTAAAATATTTAGTATTCCTGAGATTAATGTCTATTACCTATTTTCTGAATGGCATGCTTTGTAGTTCTTCTTATAGGAAAGTTCTTGTTCATTATAAGACAATTACGAACTTCCTGAAACTCTAAAGAAAGCTGAATGTTGCAAAGTAAGCTCACGGCTGAAAATACTCTTCCATTTTCAACAACCTTGTTACAAAACTCGGCAAAGAGAAGACTCTTAGTGAACACACAAAGGGGACCTGAATCAGGAGAAGCTCAGGCTCTCCCAGGAGCTCCCCTAAAGGGTTTAGGTGCGTCTCAGAGGAGCTTCCACAAAATGGAGTTCTCCTGGAAACAATCACTGACTAGTTGTTTTCTCTTAAAATATCAATTTCCTAAGAGTAAGAGAAAAATTAAAACACATTTAAATTATATAGAGTTTATTTGAGCATTTGGAGATTCTTTTTGTTTTCTTTTCTCTTTTCTTTTCTTTTTTTCTTTCTTTTGAAACAGAGTTTCCCTCTTGTTTTGCAGGCTGGATTGCAATGGGTCCATCTCGGCTCACTGCAACTTCTGCCTCCTGGGTTCAAGCAATTCTCCTGCCTCAGCCTCCCGAGTAGCTGGGATTACAGGTGCCTGCCACCACGCCAGGCTAATTTTTGTATTTTTCGTAGAGATGGGGGTTCACCATATTGAACAGGCTGATCTCGAACTCCTGACCTCAGGTGATCCACCCGCCTCAGACTCCCAAAGTGCTGGGAATATAGGTGTGAGCCACCACACCCAGCCCATTTGCTCTAGCAGATTATTCTCTACTCATGTAAGGGTGGAAAGTATATGTCGTTTGTTTACTGTGACTCTTCCAGTTTCTTTTTTACAGAGAACCCACAAAGCTAGAAGATGGCTACTAGATGAATTATGTGGGCTCTCCAGAGTTGCAAGTAACTATACCATAAGAAATTGAAATTCATGCTTTTCATTTAAATTGTCAAATTTCTTGCCTTAAAGTTGTTCAGCATACATATTATTATAATCCTTGTAGTATCTCTAGGGTCTATAATAATGTCCCATTTTATATTCTTGATATTGGTGATGTTTTCCTTTTGCTAGGTGTTTTGCAGTTTTTAATAATCTTTTCAAAGCATCAGCTTTTGGCAGCACAGATTTTATTATTGGTCTGTGTTCCATTTCATTGGTTTTCATTTTATTTTTAATTTTTTCTATTTACTTTTGATGCTTAATACTTTATTTTCAAATAGTTAAAATTTTATAAAAATCAAAGGTGCATATAAGGCTTTGACTTTAACAAATTAAAGCAAAATGAGATTTTTACAACTTCTTCAATGTTAATTTAGTAATAAAATGTTTTTTATTAGCCAAAATATTTCTGCTTTTTCCAAGATGAATGATTTCCCAATGAAGGAGCTTTGATTCTAAGAAATTGTTCTTGTCTCTTCTTGACTAAGATTTTTAAATGATGAAATGAAGCACCATTCTTTAAATGTCTCATGTAATATTTACTATAGACTGCTGATAATCTTTTAAAGCAGCTAAGGATGTTAAAATGCTGCCTTTGAGGTAACCAGCCATTTTACAGGAAATATGATACTATTTGGTGTTTTAAAGATGTTAAAATTAATTTCAGTCCTTGAAAATATGTATATAGATACGTATATAATTTACATGAGAAAATAGCCTTGGTATTTCAAGAGGAAATAAAAATTGTTGTGCCAAACTGTGCTGGGTTTATTATCTATATTCGAGTTATGAATTCATATTATTAAGGTCTTTTAATTCAAGAGATGAAGAAATAGTTTAAATATTTCACTCCAAGTGAATGGTCTGTCTCTTAGATGATTAAAGAAACAGAATAGTTCTCTACTTTTTGTCATAGTGACTAATACTAGCAAAGCACTTCAGTCCTTCTCTAGGAAAATCACCTTGTTTTTCTACATGATTTGTCTCTCAGTTACGCACATGTTCTATTTCCTGGGCAGGGGTGGAAGGGGAGTTGCTCTGTAGAATCTCTGGTCTCACGGCAGACCCTGTGAGCAAGAAATAAACTTAGAGGAGGCCAGCCACTGAGACTTGGAGGGTTTATTTGCCATTACCGCACAGCCCATCTTATCCTGGAAAATGTACCACATGAACACAAACATAAAAAACAAGACATTTTGTATTTTAAAAATATAACTCAAATTAAAAACAACAAGCTTTTATAACCTGATGTTAGCATAATCATTTGCAAATATTACTGGATATTGTGCCAGTGGCTGTAGTTGGGATGAGGGTCACAGCTGTGCCGCAGAAATATGACCTGGATCGTGGGTCGGGAGAAATCTTTGGCCCTAAGTCTCTTGGCCATCAGAGGCAACTGCAAAATCAAGGTGCACCAAATACTCCCATTCTTGCTGCACTTTGTGATGAGCTATAGAAATTCAGAAAATGCCAGCCACCCAGGATGTTGGTTGGACCTTTGCCCTCAGAAGGTTTGCCCATCTGGGTCATCATAGAGGAGATGGTGGCTGGACCAAGGCTCTGATAATCTGCTCCTAATGTTCATCTTTCTAGTGCAATGCCCATTCATCAGGACAAAGAGAGAAGGAGCCCTTTACTGCCTCTCCCTCCTGAGGGCCGCGGGCTGTTAGGGCTGGCCTCCGTCCTCGATGCAGTGTGCAGGTTATTGTGGATGATCATCTTGGTACTGGGCCTCTCCTGCCTGCTGGGTCAGGCTTGGTGGATAAAGAGACTGGCTCACCACTGCAAGAGTCTTCTGGGCTGACATATGGTGAGTGAGGCATTTGATGGGTGTAATTCTGGTCTGCGGGATTTATTGCCGTAAGTTGGTCAGTGCTGCCTGGTGGTGAAGTGAAGCCATCCTTTGATGGCTTCATCTATTGCAGACATGATATTCTATATCTTCTCTGGTGCTGACCCTCTTCATACCCTGCAACAAGTTCCAGAAGTGGAAACAGTAAAACATCTGCCTCTCTGTCACCACGTTTTTCTCTGTGATCATCTGAAGAGACTGTATGACATGAGCCTCTTCATCAGAGCTGAGCTGAGGCCTGGAGACCTGTGAGGTCACCGCATTGTGCCCATCTTCCTCTCATTAATGGGCAGGACTTTCTCATCTCCCTTTTCATCTTCCATGTCATCTTCAGTTTTCAGTGAGCCATCATTCCAACCTGCTGGCAAACACCCAGGAATGGAGGACATGGAGTTAGAAGAGACAGTGCATGAACAGCATGACCTTCTAGATGCATGACCACAACGCAGCTCTCTGAACGGCACGATTTCCCAAAGGCGCTTTGGGAAAACTTACCTGATTGTCCTCTTAGAAGAAACAGGTATCGGCCCACTGGGATAGTGGTGGTGCTCCACGATGAGACTATCCCAAATGCTACATCAAGTTACACTGGAAACAGCTCCAGTGAAAGACTTTAGCTCCATAAGGAGAACTTATTAGTGGGATACATAGCATGGTTCTTCCCTGGGAGTCTCTAACCTGGTCACCCCATTCGCACATTTAAAATTATTTTACTAAAGACTGCAGGAATAAACCTCAGAAAACCAGTAGGTGCAGGAGAGGGGCTAAGGAAAGGGAGTTAGTTAAGGGTAAAAGAAACAATCATTTGGACTCTCTCACACACATTCTATTTCCTGGTTTTATCTTTTTTGGAGATGAAATCAATGATAGCTGAATAAGGCTCACAGCTGGAGGCTTGAAATTCTAGATAAGAAATTTCATGCCAATTTTAATACAACTGGATAGAAAAACTAACACCAGGTGCCTCAAGCTTCACACACACACACACACACACACACACACACACACACACACACACACACACACACACACATCAACTGGCTTACAATCCCTGCAACTAAAGCAAATCCAATTGCAGACAGTGCTGGACTCACTGGAAAAGAGCTGGTGATTGTTTCTCCACTGGGTGTCAGAAAGAAGCAAATTTGCAGCCTTTGGGCTGGGCTGCTATTGGTTGATGGGTGTGGAGTCCCCTCCCAGGTCTCCTTTAGAAAAGCTTTGGATTCCAGGTATCACCTCGGACAGCATTTCTTCATAGAGGATGCTGTGGTTCCTTCTTACCTGATCACCTGTGGTAAGAAAGCCAAAGACTCCACCCTCTTCACCCCAGAACAGCCATAGAAATTCTCTGAGGCAGCAGGCTGACATTTCTAGTTAGCAGTTGCTTCTGCTTTGACTCAAGAAAGGTAAGTATTTCACTAGAGCTTATATTAGAAAATCTGGAGTTTGGGATTTTCTTGCTTTTCTTTCAGGGTTGTGAGCACATACTACAGGAGAGCTGGCTTTGAAGCCTCTTAGGTTTGTTTTTGTACTCAGACCAAGCTGGGTCCCCTGAGCACTTTTGCATTGCTGGTAAGGAAGGTGAGCGCAAGCCTCTCTTTCACACACAGGTGGACTTCATTGTGATGCTATAGAAATCTCCTAAAGGACGCAGTGGCAGGACATACCCAGCATAGTAACACTACCCTTCACATTGGTCATTTTGGTATAATTTTAAAACTCATACTAGTGTATTTAAGGCATTTTATAGTTATCAAGCAAATTTTACACTTTAATGCTAATAAATAATTTATCCTACAAAATCTTATGTATACATGGGATAGATTAAATATGTAAGAAAGCATGATATATGTATGCTGATCAACTATAATTAATCAGCACGTCTGACTAGACCTGAATATAGATAACCACTCATTTCAGTCATGAAGCTCCAGGTGGAGTAGAATTATGTGAAGAGCTTGCAGAAAAATGATTTTGTTTGTTCAAATTCCTCTATTCAGCCAGATGCCAGCATTCATCTTGCATGCACGGTCTGGTCTTACTTTCATGGTTTTTGTCATGCTCTCCAGCCATCTTATCTGAGGGCGCTCTGGTGTTTCTTCCACCCTCAAGGCACGGTCATGGACCCAGGTCAGGGAAAACTATAGCCTGCACATTCATAGCCATGTCCTTATCTGCATCATGGCCACCTTCACATGACACGAGTTAGGACACCTCTGCATTTCTGTAATAACAGATCTCCCAGAACCCTCATTTTCTGGGCTTATACAGGTTGTTTAATGTCCATCAAGTTAATTGAGTGAAATCAACTTTGACAACAGCCTTTGTCATCCATAGTGAGAGATAACTCAAGAGATACCATGTTTGATTTGGGTCCTTCCAGTTAAATTTCATTTTTACTTAAAAGCATGTGAAAGTACTGGTTCATTTAACAAAAGTATCATCAACTAGTTTCCCCCGATCTCTCCAGGGCACCCAGATCCCAGGGCAGGGTCCTGCTCCCTTCCTTCTCTCCCCACCTACGGAGGCGCTCTCCTTTCCTTCTCCCTCTGCCTGGGGAGCTAGCCTGAGCACCACACTGAACTCCATCAGACCCCAAGAAAGAAATCAAGAATGGCAACTGAAATTGGTCATGCTTGAAGCAGCACCTCCTGGAAGACCTATGAGTTTTGCTCAAGAAACTTTTGGGAACCAATAAAACTAAACTATAGTGATGAATATATATACATATTTTTTGAGCAGGATAACATTGCCAGGAAACTTGAACGTTACTCTTCAAGTATGGGATGTAGGGGGTGCGTACAATAGGCGGCAAGAAGGTGGATGCATTTATCTATGGACCACAGAGAATCCTCTTGTTACAAATTAGCAAAGCTTGGAGAATTTAAAAGATTGGTACAGCCAGGCGCGGTGGCTCATGTCTGTCATCCCAGCACTTTGGTAGGCCGAGGCGGGCGGATCACGAGATCAGGAGATCGAGACCATTCTGGCGAACACGGTGAAACCCTGTCTCTACTAAAAATACAAAAAAAAATTAGCCGGGCGTGGTGGCGGGGGCCTGTAGTCCCAGCTACTCGGGAGGCTGAGGCAGGAGAATGGTGTGAACCCCGGGAGGCGGAGCTTGCAGTGTGCCGAGATCGCGCCACTGCACTCCAGCCTGGGCGACAGCGAGACTCCATCTCAAAAAAAAAAAAAAAAAAAAAGATGGGTACATTGTACCGAAGAAAGTGAGCGAAGAGTCAGAAGCTTTGCTACTGGTTGCCTTGGTGAGCAATAAAATTTATTTGGAGCACATGGAAACAGTAAAACCTGAAAAACACTTATGGTTTTGCCAGGAAAATGGTTTTAGTAGCCACTTTATCTCAGCCAAGACAGGAGACTGTCTTCCTGTATTTTCAGAAAGTTGCTAATGAAATCCTTGGACTCAAATTAAACAAATCAGAAAAATAGAAGAGTCAGAGAGTGGTGAAGGCAGGTATTGGAAACTACAACCAGGCCCCCAGAACGGTGACTTCCTACAAGCTCTATGTCTGCATCCGTGAGGGCATTTGTTTTTAACTAATAGTTCTGGCTGCACCTCACCTCTGCGTGGGCCTGAGCATGTTTGGAAACTTGTTTTGCACGCAGCCATCTCTGTAGTTCAGTTAACACTTTCCTAGCTCACTTCATCATCAAGTGTTGCCTCACAGGCCAAAGGCAGCTCCTTGGACTGGTAAGAATTCAATTTGGGGACCACAGTCTTTGAGTTCAAAATGGAAAGCTCATTCTCTGGAATTAGGCTGTTTCATCCAAAAAGAATACTGGCTCTCTTTGTATCCTCCCCTTTTTTCTCCTTCATGTAAATACACAAAATATTGAATGGCTGCATGAAAGATGAAAAGTGTCCAAGTCTTCATCATCAGCCAGGATTTTGCTACAGCAGCTTCATTGTCCTACCTGAACTCGTACATGGCAAATCATACTTCAGAATGCAAGCATTTAAACACAGAATATATTTTACCTACAGAAGGTCCTTTGCCATTTTGAGTGAAAATATATAAACCTATGTCTAACTGAAAATGCTTGAAATAAAGTTGTAATCAAATTTCTTTTATTTTTTTAAAAAGAGCCTAAATTGTTTACGTCATAGCTTGTAAAAATAGTATCAGATATTGTATTTTTACTATTGTATGATGGTCACTATGTACTACGTAACATTCAGGTTAAATAGCTTTATGAATTTTGATAAATGTTCCTCTGTAGCTCCACATGTAATTTCTCTTGCAAACTGTATAAGAATACTCCTAGAATGAGTTATGACAGATCGTTGGATCATTGTGGATCAGACCATACCTGATGTTCAGATATTTTTTCTTCCACAAATACATTTATTTAAATGACTTTTTAAAAGTGACATAAACTAATTGGGCACACTGTAATAATCTCAGGCACCACTGCCTGAGAACTGATGTTTCTGCTGCTTTTCCCTTATCTTGACCTATTCTTCATGGTTACATGATAGTCATATACAGTATATGCCCTTGTTCATCTATAATTCAAGTGTATTCCTTTCTCTGGGCTAACATGGTTATTATTTTCTTTCCATTTGTTTTCAGAAAACAAATTTTATTTCATTACAATGAACTGAGCATGTTTATTTATTTTAATAAGTTGTCCCTGTATAATTTTATTGTGCTACCTTTTTTATTATCCATGTCTTCAGAAAATATTTATGTAAGAAAGATATTCATAATACTGATGTATCATTATATTAATCTTATTTGTAATCCAATCATTTTCCTTTATATTTCTTAAATAAACTACACTAGAATTATGTCACAAGTAAAGTTTTGTAGATCACCATCTTCTTACTGTTACTTTGTAACGGGAATTCTGAAATAACAATATTATTGTAGCTTATATTATTTTTCTGTTAATCAAAGATACATTTAATTAATTAGAATTTTTTCCTTTTTGTACTCAGGTTCTACCACTCTTCTATTTTGCATTAGAGAGTTCTTAAAGAAAGCTGTTGATTGGATATAGTAAATAATTTAAAAATCAATGTTTAATATATAAAGTTTTTCTTACTAAAAAAAATCACCCAATTAAAAGTGGGCTAAAGATGGGAATGGACATTTTGCAGAAATAAATAAACCACAAATGACCCATAAAAATTTTTTTTTTTTTGAGACCGAGTGTCACTCTGTCACCCAGGCTGGAGTGCAGTGGCACAAGTTCGGCTTACTGCAACCTCCACCTCCCAGGTTCAAGCAATTCTCATGCCTCAGGCTCTCGAGTAGCTAGGACTACAGGCACACACCACCACACCTGGCTAATTTTTGTTTTTGTTTTTGTTTTTAGTAGAGACAGGGGTTCCACCATGTCAGCCAGGCTGGTCTCGAACTGACCTCAAGTGATCCGCTGGCCTCGGCCTCCCAAAGTGCTGGGATTACGAGCGTGAGCCATCAGACCTGGCCGACCTATAAACTCTTTTTTTTTTCTTCTTATTCCTTGAAACTGCTCGTATTGCAAGTTTTTCATGGATGAAATATGGAATTGAGCAGATTCTTTTTTTCTACAAAATTATGGTATAAACTTGCTCAATTTTCTATCTTATTGCTAATACATCTTACAGGCACACAGTTTGTAAAGTAAACCCCTTAAGGGCTGAGTGCGTAGAGTGTGCTGCAAGGTACAAGAAATAAGCTAAAAATGAGCATATAAACCTACATCTGGACCAACACGGTACTGAATGCTGGAGTCTGAGCAAAGAATGAGTGATGAAAACAGCAAAGCTGGAAAAAAATGCTACTAATAATAATTTCTGAAAAGTCTATTAATGAAATTTTTTTCAAAATAGCCCAGGAAACCAGAAAGACAATGTTCTGTATGGAAACACTGTAGGAAGTTACAGTTTTGCATTCACAAATTACCGTGGCTCCTGTTTTATGGGACAGTAAAAGCTTACCACAATCTAGAGGTAGTTTTTACTCTAAGAAGGATGATTGTATTACTAGACTGTGCCGTATCATATTATGCACGTGGTTCTTGTACTAAATGTAGCCCAAAGAGTCTGCTGCAATTTCGAAGAATCCGAACAAAAGCTAAGCGAAGTTCAGGAATGAAAGCAAGGTACAACTGCCGAGTTTCGCATGCAAGGCCAATGTACAACCCTGAATGCAACCAAATCTCAGCTGAAAGGAAAAGAAACATTTTCTGAGTTAGGAGACATTTGTGGAGATGCTCAGTACTGGAGAAGAGAAAACAAACAAAAAAGGCAGGGAAAAGAAAAATAAAAACACAAGTTACATTTGCATTTCATAATCTTACAACTATCTGTTTCTAAAGTACTGTCTTCCAGCTATTTTAGTTGATCATCTAATAAAAGCATCTTATGTTTTAAGATTACAATGATGTTCTGGCCTAGGCTACCCCCTCCAACACCCCCAAAAAGTAAAGTTAATAAAACATGCTTTTGCTGAGATCTTCCTCATTCTACCATAAGGGCACCATCTCCCAACTGGTAGCAGATGCTTCTCATGATATTTTTTGTCACTTGCCAACAAGGCAGAAAATACTCTGCTGGATGAAATCACTGGGAACATTCCAAGTTCAAAATGAAATGTTTAACTTATACGTAATACAAGTTATGTACAAGATCAGGAGCGGGGAAAAACCTGAACAAATCCTGGAACACACATAATGTATTTACGTTATGGGAAAAGGAGAGAGAACACTTCAAATATCAACATGTTCTGCGCTATTAACTCATTTATGGCAAAATGGCCACACCAAATTGCATGTGAATGTTAGAACCTCTTGGATAACCACTAGAAATACTTTTTTTAAAAAAAAGGAAAATGCAGAAATAACTACCAACAGTGTCTGCGAAGAGAGACTAAGTTAACATACATTGCATGTGTTGCAGGCAAGGCAGAGGCAGCTTTTTAAAGCTTTTGCACAGACTTCACATAATCTTAAAAAAAAATGTAGGCCTTCACAAGATTTGACTTGCTGAAATCCAAACAATTTTGACTCACGAAAAGTCGTAAGACTTCAGCTGGAAAAAAAAAAAAAAGCTCTAGCCTCGGACCAAAAAAAAACTTGGAAGAACATGATAATTAGATTAAGCAAGCATGGCCAGGCTTGGAACCTGAATGTATTTTAAAGCAAAAGCTCAAAGGTGAGTGGGGAAGAGAACAACCTCTTTGGTGACAAGATGTACTATAATACCATGATATAAAAAAGGGTATGGTGAATATGTGAAAATGTACCTTTTACTAAAGCTTATACAATATACAAGTTACTTGGTCCATAAAAACTATGTTAGATTTATGTCTTCTAGTTTGTTCAACTTGTATTCCAGCCACATTATTTACTTCTTGCCCACTTAAACAAAACCAAACAAAAACCAACCAACCAACCAACCAACCAACCAACCAACAAAACAGCTGAAAAAATTAATTTCCAAGTTTTTACATTTTGATGTTTTTTTGTTTTACTGTGGCTTCTGCATTTCAAATCAGCACTTGCAGATAGATAGTGGGGTTTTAGAATAGTATCACCTGGTGTGAAAAGTTTTCCCAATAAACCACAAAAGACTGTTCATTTTTTTCTCCTTTTTTGTCAACTTTTTGCTGCACTCAAGTCCGTTTAAGTCTTAGCAAAAAGACGGTAGTTAGGATACCACTGTTGGTGTAGATGATGTGACACTGGTTGAATTTGTGCTGGCGTTTGTGTAACTTCCGTCGCTGTTTGTGTTTAATTCATTAGGGGGCACGTGGCTTGAACTGGCTTGAAGGATGGCACCTGCTACACTGCAATGTGGCCGCGGCCCTGCTTCTGGTGTGTAGGTAAAGGTAAGGCTGGTGGAATATATGATTCCATCATTTCGGACCAAAGTTACTGAAACCTGTATTGGTTGCTGGACCTATCTCCAACCTTCTCAGAATGCAGAAACGTCTGGGACAACACGAGCATACTCTCTCCACACCTGTACATAGCTTCAGCTTCTACATCCCCAAACCACACTTGTAAATTTGGAGTGAAATTCTGTCCTGTAAGTTCAAGCATTGGTTCGTCCCCACCGCCATTCAACTTAAGGCTCTCTACGACAGGCGGAGGCATGACCAGGGCAAGGACAGGGCCCACTCTCTCGTAAAATGTATGCTTCGCCTTATGTGTGCTAATGATTGCCCAGGAAGCACCATCATTTATCTTCTCTTTATTTGGTTCTTTTGGGCATGGAGTGGCCTGAAATTGAATTATTCTTTCTTGAGAAAGGCATAAGTACTTTCTTTCTGTATCCTCAAGGTCAAATGCACATTTATGGAGTTGTGACACAGGATCATCTGCATCCAATAATGTGGTCTGCTTATCAACTTTCCTAATTATCAATCTTGGGAGTGCCATGCCAGTAACTGAGCACACAAGTTTGACTGTTTGTCCATAATGAATGTAGCCATCTCAGACTGTGAATTCTTCTCCTTCTGATCCATCATCATCCAAGAATAATGTAAAATGCTCCCCATTGCTGTGAACTAGCATGAAAATTACCTCTTTCTACGTGCAAGTATCTGGTACTAACTGTCTGGGATAGTAGTCGATTAAACAGAGCCACCTTTTTTCCTGAGGCAATGCATAAGTCAGCATTTTTCAATGACTGCTTCTTTTTGGAAGGTTTGGATGACTTGCTGAGGAACACACCAATGTCATCACTGTTGCCATAGAACACCTTTACAGACAACATGAAGTGCTTTTGCTTGTCTAAATCAGATATGTACAATGTTTTGGCTGTGCAATAGTTCTTTCCTTCCAAGTTTAGCTGCTGCATTTCTTGGTCACTATTTCCTATGCCAATAAATGCACATGGTTGAGACCCTTGTTCAGAACAACCATCGCATTTCATTTGTTATTTTATTTTCTTCCATCCACTGCCCATAAGATATACACAAGGGGGAGGGCAAAAAAAACCTTTTTTCATTTCCATATGACTTCTGTACAACTTTTGCATGAAGGCTAAGTACTATTTGATCCCCTTACCCTTTTAAATAATTTCACATAGCTTCCCTAGTAAGTCGTTTAAATGGAGGCCACTTACCAAATTTCCTTTTAATCCATGCCATGGTACCTCAAGAACATGTTAAGGTAAGTAACAGCTTGGAACTTTTCAATGCACCTCAAAACACCTCAGCCAGTGTATCTGTATCATTCTCCTTCATTTTGAAATAATAATGTTTCCAAAGAACTGTAATGCTTCCATTTGAATGATAGTCTTATAATTTCAATGACGTTCCACAGGCTGTACAGGAAGCATGGCAGCATCTGCTTCTGGGGAGTCTTCAGGGGGCTTTTACTCGTGGCAGACAGCAAAGCAGGAGCAAGTAACTTACATCCCCATAAACTCTTAAATGATTAGTAATCACAGACCATGATAACATACTAATTTTTATGTACTGGAACAACTAAAATTAAGAAGTCTGATAAGAGAAAGAAAATCCAACATTACATGCCTCTGAATATGATTCAATAGGAAGCACACTGCACCACCTTTGAAGTATTCTTGCCAAAAGAATATAAAACTAAAAGAACTTAAATCAACCTCTTGTTCTAACTATCAGTTTATATGTGTTAAATTATACCATAAGGCTGCACTAAGCCAAACACAAAATGTGGGAAATTCTACAGGCGAATGACCTAGTTTTTTCTGCAAATACATGGAGTCAGGTGGGAAGAAGATATTGTGATCAATTAAAACTGTTAAAGTTAAAGAAAGAGGAAAGAAACATGAAAAGTGGCTTAAGAGTCAAAGACAGGTTTATTTTGGAGAATAAACCTGAGAGGGGCTTCTGGCCGATTTCGGTTAGGAACACTCTCTCTTCCAGAGTAAGAGTATTTATTGGTGAGAGAGCTTATCACAGGCTTGGAATGTTTCTGTATGGGGGAGAAGCTCATGGCGGGGTTGGAATGTCTATGGTCAGAGGGGAGGTTTTCTTGGGGCTGACATCTCTCCAGCTGGAGGGGAGGTTATCTGGGGGCTGGCATGTCTCTGGTCAGGGAGGGGTTTATCCTATGGTTGGAATGTTTCTGGTTGGACATGTCATTTGTGGTTTATGGTCATGCTGACCTTAGCCATTAGGCTGATGCCCTTTGGATTTAGGTGGTTTTTAGGTGGATCAAGGGGAACTTTAGAATGGTGGTACTTGTCCATGATGGCGATGCTCCTGCTCTGTCAAAAACCTCTGTCAACCAAATGCAGTGTGCGTGGACTTGTTTGGATTCTCACTGAAAAAGAGATCTGTGAGACAATCATGAAAACCTGAACACCAAACATTAGATGATATTAAGGAATTACTGTTAATTTATTTAGTTGTGTTAATGGTACTACTATCATGTATTTTAAAAGTCCTTTCCCTTAAAGATACATAGCTATATATTTTAAAATGATATAATATGATGTCTGGGGTTTGTGCTAAAATTATGCTTGAGTGTGTGTTTGTGGGAGGGATATATATGAAATTTTAAGACTACTCCATATATTTATAATTATTGAAGTAGAGTGTAAGGAATACATTGGGTTTTATTACTTTTGTCTCTACTTCCATGTATGTTTGAAAATTTTCATAATAAAAATTGTAAATAAAAGTCTAATAAAAATCATAGTTTTAAAAATTAGGATGAAAAATCATGAATAACAAATAAGATCTAATAAAAATATTGTATAGTGTCATAGTGTAAAAGTATTTTATGAAGACACATATTGGTAATTATATTTTAAAACTCCATAAATCGAAAAGTTCAACAACCATACTGTAACCTCCTGATGGGTTCTTCCCGCCTGCTGCACAAAAAAAATCAATTCACAGAGACCAGGGCATTGCAGTAAAGGAAGAATTTAATTGATGTGAAGCCAGCCACACCACACAGGAGGTGGAGTTATTAAATCAAACTCATCAAAAGCTTGTAGGTTAGGGTTCTTTCAAAGGTAATTTGGGGGAAGTGATGAGGGTGGCTAGGCAATGGCTGCTTTCTGCTGATTGTTTTGGGGGTGCAATCTTAACATGGGAAAATATCCTGCTCTGTGCTGAATGGCTTCTGCTTCTGCATGGGGCCACATGAGCAGTTGGTGGGTTCAGAAGGCACCATAATTGGTGCCAAACACGCAAAATATCTGAAAGGCTATCTCAAAAGGCCAATCTTGGGTTCTACAGTAGTGATGTTATCTGCAGGAGTAATTGGAAAAGTTGCATATCTCGTGACCTCTGGAATAATGGCTGGCAGTCTTTTATGTCTACCCCTTTGCCGAATTCAGGCTCTTCTCCTCCTAGCCTGGTGGTCTCTCATTAGCTTTATAAAGGTGATTGAGTTTTGGAGAAGGACTATTATCATTTAAACTGTAAACTACATGTCTCCCAAAGCTAGCCCATCCTAAGCCTGGTAATAATTAAGGCAACATGAAGGTAAAATATAAGAGGGAAGTTGGCTATATTAGATCTTCCCCACTGCCATAATTTTCTCACTGTTATAATTATTGCAAATGCAGTTTCAATATGAGTTGTTTTTCAATTCAACCTCTGGCTTTCTAATTAAAAATGATTAGTTAAACACATGTGCATCTTCTTCCTATTCTACCAACATCCTATTGAAATGACCATGTGATGGACAAAAGAGAAGATACGTGTCCATGCTGAGAACAGGATGCAAAACCTTCAGCAGACTAGAGGGCAGGAGATGGGAACACACTGGGATGTGTAGCCCAAACGATGCAAAGAACAGAGTTGAGGGTGAGATAGAAACCCCTCACAAAAGAAAGACACAAACCTAGAATCCCAGGCATGCATCACAAGCAACTGCAGTGCTATTAAAGGGCTGTTTATGGATCAGCTGGGCCAGTCAGCTTCCCTTCCTCCCATCCTGCAACTTCTGGCAGTAGCTGGCAGCAGTTATTTAAAAGACACCAGCCAAGCCGGTTCCTGAGTGAGTCCAACCACAGTCAGCCCAGGGCCAGCCTCGTGGCTCCCAATCTGTGGTACTGAGGGTCATGATCATTAATTACATTTCCAATGAAACAATAATTGCCTTTAGTAAACTACAGGAGCATAAGTAGAAGCGATATTGTAGTAAATGTCTCATATCATTACTTCTGCCAGAAATACCTCTGCCCTTGCATTTTCAAAAGATATTTGCTGCATCCTTTTCTGAAATACATTTTTATGATCTCAATTCCTTCAAAACCTAACTTTATTTTATTTATTTATTTATTTATTTATTTATTTATTTATTTATTTGAGACAGAGTCTCGTTCTGTCACCCAGGCTGGAGTGCAATGGTGCGATCTCTGCTCACTGCAACTTCCGCCTCCCAGGTTCAAGCGATTCTCCTGCCTCAGCCTCCTGAGTAGCTGGGATTACAGGCACCTGCCACCACACCCAGCTAATTTTGGTATTTTTAGTAGAGACGGGGTTTCACTATGTTGGCCAGGCTGGTCTTGAACTCCTGACCTCAGGTGATCCACCAGCCTCGGCCTCCCACAGTGCTGGGATTACAGGCGTGAGCCACCTCGCCTGGCCCAAAAACCTAACTTTAATTATTTCCCTAGCCACTATACTGATCATTTTATTTAGTGCTTTTTTTACACCATTACATATACATATAAGGAAAACTGGCATCTTTTACATATTTATTTATTTTTATCCTGTTTTCCTCTAAAAACTATTAAGGCAACTTCCAAAATATATTCTACATAATGAGATTAATAAACAAGCAAAGTAACTAAATCAGTAAGAAAATCTAGCTTGGATTGGTATGGGTTAAAAAATAAATACACAAAATATATCATGATATTTATTTGGTCTAATATAGGCTTCCCATGCACCCCCCTCTCCCCACCGCCCCCAACCCCCTCCCCACCGCCCCCAACCCCCTCCCGAGAGGACAGGGATGCCCGGGTCCGAAGCCATGGCTGGGCAGCTGCCCTTGCGCCTGGGACTGCAGGGCTCCCTCCCCAGCAGCTCAGAAGCGGCCAGGGCTCCCGCCGGCTCCACAAAGTGCGCCGCCCTGCGGCGCCTCCCCTGCTGCAGCCGGCATCTTGGCAGCAGCCTCTCCAGATGGGCCGCTGCCATCAACACCACCCAAACCGGTAATGTGGCTCAGCCAGTTCTGCGATCCCACCCAGGAACAGAAGGCAGCAAGAAAACCTCACTTTGATCCCCCTGTGATTCTATCTCCAACCTGACCAATCAGCACTCCCCGCTTCCTGAGCCTCTGCCATATTACCCTTAAAAACTCTCATCCCAAACGCTCGGGGAGACTGATTTGAGCAATAATAAAACTCCAGTCTCCCACCCAGCTGGCTGTGCAAGAATGACTCTTTCTCTATTGCAATTCCCCTGTCTTGATAAATCAGCTCTGTCTAGGCAGGGGGCAAGGGGAACTTGTTGGGCGGTGGTGAATATATATTAATATATATGCACTCACACACACAAATATATGTAATATTTGCAACTGGAAGTAGAACAGGACCTCCTAATACAAAGACGAGCTCCTGTAGCATCAGGAGTCAGCAGCTCCCTGCCAGGTGGAGCCTCCGTTGTGGTCATACTATTGAGGGGGCCCCCACCTGAACGCCAGTCCCCGCCCCTGATTCAGCCATTTCGCAGATATTTATTCAGATGTTCCAGGAACTATTCTAAGGGCATCAGGTGCTGTTCTTGTCACAGGCAAAGAAAGCCCCAAAGGGAAGGTGTCTCTTCCGGCGGTGCCTGCCCCACCTCCAAGCCTGGCAGCTTTCGAAATTTATCTTAGGACATTTCCGACAGGTGTTGCTCTTCTTCAGCTTTGTCCTGGCATAATTTTGTCTCCCAGGAGCCTTCATTTTCTTCCTTCATTGATCCTACATGTGCTGTAGCTAACAGGAATTCCTCAGAGCTCGTAGCCTTTGGATAGCGTGGTTTCACGGTTGTCAACACTGATATGTTTATCTATACTTTGAGCTTCGTGTAGTTTTTCATTAGGATTTTGTGAAATGCACAGGATGATGTAGGCTACAATGGTAGGTTCGATTAGCTATGTTCCTTGATGATTTCACAGTAACTTATATTTAAATAACCAAACTATTCAGATTTATGCTTCTATGATAAGAGATTTCAGTATTTTTGAATCAAACCATTTTAAGGGTTTTTTTTTTTTAATGAAACACTTACTTAAAATGATTACATAACTTTCCCTTGCATGCCACATTTTAGGCAAAATTAACAGCATATTCCTAAAACCCAGCTTACTAAATTGCTTCTCTTCATAGTTTTTTTTGTTTTTAACCGAGGAAGAATTTCTGATGGGAAGCTTTAATTATAGTGAGCTATGTACTAGCCAAGGAAGGCAATAAATTGAAAATATGCTGTTTAATTTTATTGTTGTTTGTTTGGCTGGAGAACACTACAGTTTTATTTCTATTCATAAACCAGTGCTTCCCAACCAGGGCTGTTTTTGCCTCCAGGGAAGAAAATGTCTGGAGACATCTTGGGTTGTCAAAACTGGGGGTTGCTACTGGCACTTAGAGAGTACAGGCTATGGATGCTGCTAAGCATGCCATCTTGCACAGAACAGCCTGTACCCTCCCTTCTCCTCTGCAAGAAGAATTAAAAATTATCTGACTCAAAAGGTTAACACTGCTAAGATTAAGAAACTCTGCCATCGACCAGTGGAAGTAAAAATTGTAAGGATTTATTATTTCAAATCTATACAGCTTTACCTCACGAGTTTTACTTTTTCTAATTCTCTTTAGGGAAGTTTCTCTTCCCTCTCATTTTCCAAACGAAGTTGTGATTTTTGGCGTGAACTACTCCACCCCACAGCCCAGCTTCTGCGCTTGAAGATGTTGTGGATATGGGCTCCATGCTTGTAGTGGCGAACTTCCAGGCCTGTCACATGTCCTGCTACCCCAGACCACTCCATCACATGACCTGTGCATACACCTTACATCATTCTGAAATGCCCTTCACATATGCCCTCTTCCAGAATATAAAACATCTTCCTTGCATAAATACTTCCAAGGAAAGGCTGGCCACACTCTGACTACTTAAACTCCTTGAAGTTTTGTTCTATGAAAAACATAAATGGTGGTTCAGCTGGCAGCATCCTCAGTAACACTCTTGATATTTTCTATCCTCTAGTTTTCTCCATCTGTTTGAGAGAACACACTTTGGGTTATCTGGGGTCTATGCCAAAGGAGGCATTGTGGATAAGTGTGGCTCAGCCTTCCTCAACAAAAAATTACCTTTCAATTCAGGGCAGAAGCTTATGATATTAAAACTCATGTGGTTCCTCGAGAATCTCCTTAATACACTTTCCTCGTGAGCCAGGGGTGAGGGTAACTGGCAAAGCAATCAGGTCTTGGCGCCAACAAAATCCCATTTCTTCCCTGAAATACAAGGCCCATCAGGACGTGACATCTGTCTGTATTACTTCCTACTATATAATCCCCAGTAACTAGAACAAAGCAGTTAAACAATATTCAACAGTCAGAAATATATTTATCATATGCTGCTAAAAATACCCTCCATTTTCTAGCTCTCTAATCAGTTAACATGTGCACATTTAAACTACATCACAGCATTGGATTTGTTCTATCTGTCTGTATGGATACAATTGTGCTGCTGACAATTTAGTCAAGTGTTTCATCTCTATGTAGACAACCATCATGTAAGAATTAATGAGAATTTCCTAACATCATGGTGGCAACTGGCAGCTATTGCTCTGAAAATTTCTGGCTCTGAAAAATCTTAGGCCAACATGTTCACAGTAATGTTTTAGTTTAAAGAGCTTGGAAATGGGGTTTCCTGGAATGTATTGGAATAAACCATGTATTTTATTCCCAGTTTTGGGAGATATCTGCTTTCCTTACGTTCCCCAGGCTACCACCATCCAAAAGCAGAAAAGCCATTTAGGGAACCAAGAGTTTTAGTCAAGCTATTTAACTGTCATCAGAAATAAAGAAAACAAATCACCTCTACAGCCTTCTGGGTTAATTTTTATAAGGTGGTTTGTCTTCATTCAGTGGAAAAGAATAATCTTAACTTCAGGTCATTGGCAGGTCAATAAAAGCTCTAAAGCTAAATTTTCACCAAAATCTCAGTTGAGATAAGTAATATTTAAGGATTATTTGGAAGAATAGGCTCCACTGATTTCTGTAATAACCAGAGATTTAATACTGGATTAATCCAGACCATCATATAACTCCATACTCAAGCCATATTGTCTTGATTGCCCAAGAAATTGCTTTTAAGAAATTGTCATATATTTATTGTCCAAAACGTGTTTATTATAGGGTTATTGTTGAAGACAATGTCCCCTTTATTGCTTGGTGACTCCAATGAAAGGCCCCAATAAACATTGCTCTCAGACTTGATTTTGACAACAAAACCTCTCACATAAAATACTGAAAGTATGAATGTTAGAATTCTTTTTTATTTCTGGGAAGCTGAGATACAAATACAGAAACAAAATTCAGTGACATAGATCTTTATCATATCTTGCATGGTCCTCTGAAATAGGAAGAAAACATTAAATTTTAACTTTTGACTTTAGGGTAAAAACATCACTTTTATACAAATCAAAAACAAAGAAGAAAAGAACCCCATACAAATTATAAAGACAAAGGCTGACAAAATTGACCATAATAAAATAAAATTTCTGTGCAACAAGACACTAGGAATAAAAGTTTGTAAGAAAAGCTAGTGGGAACAAAAAGATATTCACAACATCATTGAAGATATAAAGATTGATATCCAAAATAAAAACCTCTTATTAAAAAAGAAAGAAAAAGTAAATGAAAGTACAAACAGATTAAGAAGAGAAAACATGGCCGGGCGCGGTGGCTCACGCCTGTAATCCCAGCACTCTGGGAGGCCGAGGCAGACGGATCACGAGGTCAGGAGTTTGAGACCAGCCTGGCCAACATGGTGAAACCCCATCTCTACTAAACATACAAAAATTAGCTGGGTGTGGTGGGGGGCACCTGTAGCCCCAGCTACTCAGGAGGCTGAGGCAGGAGAATCACTTAAACCCAGGAGGCAGAGGTTGCAGTGAGCCGAGATCATGCCACTGCACTCCAGCCTGGCGACAGAGTAAGACTCCATCTCAAAAAACAGAAAAAAAGAGAGAGAAAAAACATTAATGACTAACAAATGTATCTAAAGATTCTCAGACTCATTAGTAGTCAAAAAAGTGTACATTATAGCAATGATGAGAGTGCAATTCTCTTTATCTGAACTGGTAAACATAAAAAAGTCAGACAAAATCAAGCATTACTGAAGTGACGATAAAGGAGTTATCTGGTGATGCTGGTGGGAAGATACAGCGGCTGTGCGAGGTGATTCTACAACATGACTTACAGGCGAGTACTCATGCGCACCCTCTGCCCCAGCAACCTGACAGCTCTTCCCCTGCCATCTTCCATGGTCCACACAAACATGCATGAGTGTGTCCTGGGCAGCTGCACCCTCACCTTTGTGCATCACAGCAGGGTCCACCTGCTCTGAGTCCTTATGACATGACGCTATTCTCAGTGTCCTGGTATGTTCCTGTCACTGTACAATGGCTCCCATAAGCCCTACTGCTGCCTGGAACAAAGAGAAACTTTGGTTATATAGTGTGTATTTGCATAAAGACCGTTTTCAAAGAGCAAGAAGAATATAAAAGAAATAAATCTGTGCCTGTATATAGACTCCCTAAAGCTGTCTCTGGCCTCCAGTTTAAAAACATCTAGAATCTAGCCAGGCCCTTGCCTTTCCTTGAAGCACACTTATCTGCCTAGAATTAGGTGTAAATAATTTTGTTCTATTACCCACCCCACGATTCTGAAGAACTGGCTCAAATGTACCCAAACTCTGGTACACATTTGTCAATGCTGCCTCTTACAGGACAAAAAAAAACTGAGTATTTTCTTTCAGACCCTCATACACTTTCCACATTGAAAATGTGGGATATTCTGTATTTCCACAAGCAGTTCTTTCTCTCTCCTTTGTCTCTCTCCTATTTTTCTTGAAACCCCTACTCTCTCACTCTGTGATTTGTCTAAATATAATAAAGATATAGGTACAAAAAATATTTTACTTTCCTCTTAATTCTACTATGAGAAGAAAGCATTAAGTTCAATGATAAAGGGCAGCTGGTAATTGAACTTAGGTGTAGGCAGAAAGACACTGGTAGGGATGAGGCAAACAAGAAAGTCTGTTTTCCATGTAAAGGGTGAAACAGTTTCTCAGCAATTGCTGAGATCAAGGATAAGCCCTACAAGTTTGGGCGGGAAAGAGGACTCTTATTACTCTGAGGGAATGCAGAAATCCCTCCGTTTTGTTGTTGTTTGTTTTCTCTGAGCCCTTGTGATCTGGCCCCCAAGAATTCCTGTGGTGGCAGCAGCAGGCGGTGCCTAGGAGAAACAAAACCCTGAGGCCAGGGCATCTTCCTCTCCAGTTGGTGCAGTTATGATCCCAAGAGGGTGATGCAAACTTTTTGAAGTCTTTTCTCATTTTGCCACCTGTCACCTGGCTCCAAACATGGGTGCAGCCATGAAACACTGTAGCAGAGTACCGTAATCAAAGACCCAGCATTCTGGCCAGAAAACAGAAAAGAGGAGCTCCAGGAAACCAGAAAATATTGGAGACACTGTGGAGAGGAAGGAGTATGAGAAAGTGACACCATAAAGTTTTTAATGGACTGAGCGCATCCCCAAGCTGCATGTGTGTGGATCTGCTCCTAATTAGTTAACCAAAGATTTTGAGAACGAAGCTAGCAGATTATCATCCGAGTTCCACACTGACCACCAGGACATATCTGAAGCAAACTGGAAAGGCTTTGAAAACTCAACTGATTGTTGGAACCACAGCTCACAAAACAGAGATTGGAACTTGCAGCTTGAATATGACAAGGTCAATTGCTTCTAAAACAAAAATAGCATCAATCCGCCTAATATTTTATGAAGACCCAGAGCCTCAAAACTTAATGTCCATGACACAATCCAAAATTACAAAAAAAACCAGATAAACTGCACCCCACATGAGAAAAGACAGTCAGTACTAAGTAGCTACCAATACTGAGAAGAAAAATAAATTTGAATTACATCACAAGGATTTTAAAGCAGCTTTTATAAAAATGTTCCAACAAGTGGTCGCAAACACTTTTTTTTTTTCTTGAGACCGCGTCTCACTCTGTCACCCAGGCTACAGTGCAGTGGCGCAATCTAGGCTCACTGCAACCTCGGCCTCCCGGGTTCAAACGATTCTCCTGCCTCAGCCTCCCAAGTAGCTAGAACTACAGGCATGCGCCACCACGTCCAGCTAATTTCTGTATTTTTAGTAGAGAAGGGGTTTCACCATGTTGGCCAAGATGGTCTCGATCTCTTGACCCCATGATCTGCCCTCCTCGGCCTCCCAAAGTGCCGGGATTACAGACGTGAGCCACCATGCCCGGCCGCAAACACTTTTATACCAATGGAAAACTAGAAGTATCAGAAAATAAATAGAAGATGTAAAAAGGAACAAAATGAATATATTAGGACCAAAAAATCCAATAACTGACATACAAAATTCTAAGTAAGCTTTTTATTACAATAAAACTAAAGAGGTAAGGATCTGTTATCACGACTATAAATCAACAGAAATTATCTAATCTGAACAATAGAGAGAAAGAAAGATGAAAAAGTCTTGATTAGAGCCTTAGAGACTTGAGGAACAATAACTAAAGTTCCAACATACATGTCATCTGAGTCTCAGAAGGAGAAAAGGAAAAGGAGTGCAGTGCTGAAAAAATTTTGAAAACCTAACAGGAAAAATTACCCAAATTTGGCAAAAGGCAAACATTAATTGAACTAAAAGAAGAAATAAACAAATGTACAATTATGATTAGATAATTCAACACTCCTCTCTCGCTAATAATTAGTGAACATTTGAAATTAATTGATGGTAAGTTTGATTAATTCTGAGATTTTTAGCAGTATTGTTTATCACATAGAATTAACAGATCATTTCTGTATAGCAGGCAAAAATGCATTCTGAGCCACATGTAATAGTTCATCACACAAAATGTTGAGTTAATGCCAGTCAGAATGTCTCTCTTCTTCCAGTACAGGGATTACAAAATAATGGCAAGACCTAAGGTCATGTATGCAGTGATGCACTAAGTACCTTAAATAATAGGACATGAGATTGCAAGCACAATGCAGTCACTATGAATGAGAAAATTATGTAAGAGCTCAAGTTCATGTGCTGAGGAGGCTTCTGAGAAGCCTTAAAGGATATCTGGCCAATTCAGCTGTTACTGGGTTAGACTATTAATTGTCTTATTGCCTTAACTCTCATCAAAAAAAGACTGTTCTGCAGGCTTTTTTTACTGTGGGCAAGTGATTAACAACACCCCAGCTAGAAAATTCTTCCTGATGTCTGTCCTGAGTCTCTCCTGATCTAACAAGCAACGGTATACAAGAACTTATCAACTCCATCATCAATTACAAAAAAAAATTGTTGTCATAATCATAGTATATGATTTAAGGATTTACTAAAATGCAATGGTAGTCAAGCTATCAGAGGATGGAGGAACCTCCGTTTCACCATCTGGTTGTTCCTCTTTGTTCCCTTTAGGTTAGTCTGAGCCAAAACACCCAACACTAATCACAATGCTTTGTCCATTTCAGCAGGCATAATTCCTTACAACAACAAATAAAATAATTCCTAAGTATTTATTTCATAAAATAAATGTATTAGATATTTTGTCCTCACAAAAATAAGAGATAGAGTCTACTCAAAACAGTGTTTTGTGTATGATTTTCATAAATTTCAAATTAGAATGTAAAGTTTATCATATCTCTTCCATTTGTTAGGATAGTGTTAGTAACATTTATAAAATCATTTTCTTTCTCCTGTACTTATTTGACATAAAATGTGTCATTCTCTGAGAATATAAGATGAAATCATTCCACAGAAGAATTACTTATATTCAGAGTTATTTATGTGTAACAGTACTCCATAAATTCCCTTTGAGGGCCTTGTTCCATTCAGCAAGAAGAATGTCTTGATGGTAGGCAAAATTGTACGTAAGTTAAAAGTATGAAATTTGAATCAAGCTCTGCCATTGAATTGTCACGTGAACCTGGAACAACATAACCTCTCCCTGCCTTAGTTTCTCTATTTATATAATGGTAAGTATAATAAAAGTATACTTCAAGGGCTTTTGCAAGCACTATATGAACCAATAGATCTAACACATTTAGAACGGTAACTTGATATTTTAGGCGCCTTGTAAGTTATTGTTATTATCTGCAATTGTATCTACCCAAAAGCTAGAATCCCTCTTCTTGGCCCCCAAATTCCTATGACATGTCTATAAATATCTTCTAAATATATTTATTCATTTTATGCATGCATTTACTTGTATTCTGAATGCCTTTACATGTGCCAGGCATTGTCTAGGTGTTGGAGAAACTAAGACTGACTTGAAGGAGATATTTACTTAAAAGAAATAGCTGTAATGGGTATAATTTGCAGAGGGGGAGAACCCTGTGAAAAAGAGAGTAATTAGAAAACTTCATTTTGAATATAAAGAGAAAAAACTTTTCTGAGTTCATGAAAGAATTATTGATATCATCAACAATAAACAGCATATGCTAATATTTATATTTCCTAACTATTCTACATACCTATATTTATATAGATTTCAGCTAACAACTGGGCCTCAGTTCTACTATGACATATTGCTAAAAGCATTGATTATATAAGTTCATATTATATGCAGTGTTTGCATGAGATAAAACTTTAAGACAAAAAAATCTGCTCCAAAAAGTGCCTTGGTCTTCGTAGCTTATTCAAGACATTTATTTTATATTCTGCAGACTGTGGAACATCTGTTTATTAATGCAGCTTTATGATATGTTGTAAATTGCCTTAACAGAAAATATGAAATTGCACATTCGAGCCCAGATTTTCTTTTCATCCTCTTGTGTTCAGCTTGGCAAAAGGCTGATACTGCCAGAAAAAGAAAGAAAACTTTGTTCAAAATTGAAGTTAATACTTTCTTGGAGAAATAACTACTAACTAAAGACAAATACTTGATGAGACTATTTTAATGTATCTATTGTCCTTATTATGTAGGATATAATTTCTTACTTTAACATATGATGATTTTATTTCAAAGCCATTTTGACTGAATGACTTTCAAGGTTATTTTGAAAATCATAATAATTTAAATACTTAAGGAAGCTAGTCAAAAATTTGAAATTAATTGATGGTAAGTTTGATTAATTCTGAGACTTTTAGCTGTATTATTTATCACACGGAAGAGAAGATCATTTCTATATAGCAAACAAAAATGCGTTCCGAGCCATATGTAATAGTCCATCACACAAAATGTTGAGTTAATGCCAGTCAGAATGTCTCTCTTTTTCAAGTACTGGGATAACAAAATAATGGCAAGACCCAAAATCGTGTGTGCGGTGATGCACTAAAATACCTTGAATAATAACAGATGGGGCCGGACGCGGTGGCTCACGCCTGTAATCCCAACACTTTGAGAGGCCGAGACGGGCAGATCACGAACAATGCCTGGCCCCACACTGGAGGGCACAGTGAACCAGGTTCCACTGGCCAAGAGTCACTCGTGTAGGTGTCTCTGAGCTAGGAGATGTGTACTAATTCCTAACAGGCAAGAGTTTAGGCCGGCATTGGCCATCAGAGAGGATGAGAGAAAAAATTTGTCTTATTTATGGAGCTAGCATAAGAGGAAGCTAGAGCTTTACTAAATGTGAAAATTTAAGTTGATGTATATTCTACATCCTGAACACCCAGTGACAAACTGATGTTCCAATATCTGTTTATACAACGTGTGTGTTATCATTACACTGGCAAAATGGATGATATGTTTGCCTTATTTCAAATCACTAAGTTTTGTATTATGGTGATATACTCATACTGCTTTCTTATCAACTCAGAAATCCATTATACAAAATCCACTTTTTATGGCCATCTAAATCCTTTATTCAGTACCATCAGCCTGGGACATGTTAATATATTTCTGCTAGACATACCACCCAGACTTGAAATGCATAGGACACTAAGCACATAGTGGTAGCAGCATGTTTTCCTTTAATAAAAAGACATTATTTTGGGAGGCAGTTTTACATTTACAAGAAAATTGAGCAGACAATACAGAGAGTTCCTTAAACCCTCCTTAGCTCATCATGCCTATTATTAAGATATCTTGCATTCGTCTGGTGTATTTGTTACAATTAATGAGCCAATATTGATACATTATTATTATTAACTAAAATTAACAGTTTCATTAAGGTGCACTGTTTGTGTTGTATATTCTATGGGTTTGGAAAATGTGTAATGTCATATATCCACCATGACATTTTACAGAATGGTTTCACTGCCTTAAAAGTCCCCTGTGCTCCACCTATTGATCCCTCCTTCTCCCTGCAAATCCCTGGCAACAACTGTACTTTTCATTGTCTTCATCGTTCTGCCTTTTAAAGAATGTCATATAGTTCGGCTTACACAGTATGTAGTCTTTTCAGATCGGCTTCTTTCACTTAGCGATGGGCTTCTAAGGTTTTTTTTTTTTTTTCCATGTCTTCTCATAGTTAAATAGTGTGTACCTTTTTATCACTTAATAACATTCTATTGTATGAGTGTACCAGAGTTTGTTTATCCATTCACTTACTGAAGTTGCTTCCACCTTTGGGCAATTATGAATAAAACTCCTATAAACATCAATGTGCAGATTTTTGTGTTGACCTCAGTTTTCCATACCTTTGGTTAAATGCCAAGACACAATTACTGGATCTTATAGTGACAGTATACTTAGTTTTGTGAGAAACCACTTCCCTTCCAAAGTGGCTGTATGGGGTTGTATGGGAAATATTTGAATTAACATCCAAATCACACAATCTTTTTGTTACACTTTAAGCATTAAGAGATTTGTTGTCATAGTTACCTTGGGAGTTAGTGGCTTCTGAGGAGTTGACAAGGGCTCTTGGTAATGTGGTGCATATTAACGTTAACAGGTTATATTAATGAATAAACAATGCATGAACTATGAAATGTAAGACCATGCAGAGTATATTATTAATAAATAAATAATGATTCTGTACTACGTATTTACCTTTTGACAGAGAGGTGCACAACAAAAACAAATGTTGATATTCTTGAAAATTTTGAAGTCAAGTCTCAACAATTAAATATAAATTTTGTCTTTCCATGTAAGTGATAGACTAATGAATCTACAGATTTGCAAGTTTATAAGCCGAAGTGAATGAGTGCCTCCTTCTGAAAATTATTATTGGGCTTATGAGTTTATAAGCGCATGCATTTCACCCTGGTTGGCCTAAGCTGGCAATTTCCTCCAAGTGGGCATATTAGGAATACCAAATGTCACGAACAGACTGCAAAGAGAGAGAGGAAGGGAACATTTAGCTTCTGACAGCTGAACACAAGAAAAGGGTCCAACCAAGTTTCCTGGGAAAGCTGGAGGTTACAAACATCAGATGACCAATACCTAACTTCTCTTGTTTATTTTAATTCTTCTGTTTTAATAGATAATATTTCATTTTGACATTTTAAGGAACATTTCTGTGTCTCTGTTCTGGCCCCTGATGTTACCTTTGGAGACTAGGGGGAAGAGAGAGGGAGTAATTAATATATTTATAAGAACATATTTTTGAGTAAGAAGAATATGCATGAGTTAATATTTATTAATATATTTTTATTAATCCAAATATATTCACAAGAAATTATTTATATTTAAGAATATACTCAATAACATATATGTAAAATATGTTATTCAGGAGTGCGTTCTTAATTCACATGTTCTTTGTGCCACATGTGTCCACTGATTTCTGTGGAAGATTCATAAAAACGATATGTAAGGTATCCGAACTGCTGAAAACCACAGACAATGAGAAAAATCTCGAAGGCAGCTAGAGGAAAAATTAAGCATTTACATCAAGCATTTATCAATGAGAAGAATATATTCATCGGAAGAATTGTATTAGTCCGTTCTCACGCTGCTAATAAAGGCATACCCGAGACTGGGTAATTTGTAAAAGGGAGGTTTAATTGACTCACAGTTCAGCATGGCTGGGGAGGCCTCAGGAAACTTAAAATCATGGCAGAAGGGGAAGCAAACATGTCCTCCTTCACATGATGGCAGAAAGGAGAAGTGCTGAGCAAACGGGGGAAAAGCCCCTTATAAAACCATCAGTTCTCATGAGAACTCACTCACTATTATGAGAACAGCAGCATGGAAGTAACCGCCCCCATGATTCAATTACCTCCCACTGGGTCCTTCCACAACACATGGGGATTATGGGAACTACAAGTTAAGATGAGATTTGGGTGGGGACACAGCCAAATCATATCAAGAATATATTTTAAAAATAAATCATTTTATTCAAGAATAAACTCATATAAATATGTTTATCTTTTGCACCATCAGTTTTTCCTTTTTTCTTTTAGCTTCCATCTGTCAAAGCAGAAAGCCAGGTCAGAGATAGACCAGCCATCCCTTCACATTTGCTGAGACTATGACACAAGAAAATTAGTCAACCTTAAATAGTTAGCAGAAACAAATTTAACAAAATAGTCATCAGTAAATTGGCCACTCAGCAAAGTGGCTTTGTCAGTGGACCTGGTCGAGAGAGCTAGGACCTGCTGCCACAGAAACTGCCTTGGTCAGGTGAAACAACCCCACAGCAGTAAGTGTAGGTAGAAAATCAGGACTGAAGCAATTACACATGTTGTCATTGACCTTTCCATCTGCAGGGGATAATGCAGTGAAACCCTGCCACCTTTCCACAGGCTAACTCTCAGAGGAATAAAAAAAAAGTCATGTGCAGGTTGATTTGGGCTAACGAATGATCTTTCATCATTCAACTTTTGATGTTCAAAAGTATGCTATTATATTTGTGCACATGTGAAATGAAAGAGAAAGGAGCTTGGACACATGAAAACCAAGGAAAGAAAAACCTAATTTGTTTTACTAATAAAGAATAACAGAAAAAAGGGTAATACCAATTTCACTTGCTTCTATGTCTCTTTTCTATGCCCTCAGGAAGTACAATTTACCACTTTGGGAAGCTTAGGAGGGAGCATCGCTTAAGACCAGGAGTTCAAGACCAGCCTGGGCATCATATAGATGTCTCTTCTAAAAGCACTACTAATGCAATAAAATGTATTCTCGTTGAAAATTACATCTGCAGAGAATAAAACAGGAAAAATCTGCTGTCTTTTCACACTCAATTGTTTATCTTCTGATCTGATTCATCTTGCCATTGTATGTTGCATATAAGTTGTAATAAACTAAAATTTAACATATTGTGGTATATATACACCGTGGAATAGTAGAATACTATGCAACTATAAAAAAGAATGAGATCATGTCCTTTTCAGGAACATGATGAAGCTGGAGGCCATTATCCTTAGCAAACTAACAGAGGAACTGAAAACAAAATACCGCATCTTCTCACCTACAAGTGGGAGTTAAATGATGAGAACACATGGATACATAGAGGGGAAAGACACACACTGGGGCCTACCTGAGATTGGAGGGTGGGAGGAGGGAAAGGGGTACAAAAAATAACTATTGGTTACTAGGCTTAATACCTGAGTGATGACATAATCTGTACAACAAACCCCTATGACACGCGTTTACCTATATAACAAACCTGCCCATGTAACCCAAACTTAAAATAAAAGTTTAACATATAAATATATATATAGTGGCATTTTGGACAGACATTTACATATAGAGATGCATGAATACATAGATCAATAGATGTATGTATTCACGGGTTATTAGGAATGCAAATAGGCATTTAAAAATAGGGTTTCCAGCACTTTGGGAGGCCGAGGCGGGAAGATCACGAGATCAGGAGATCGAGACCATCCTGGCTAACACAGTGAAACCCTGTATCTATAAAAATACACACAAAAAATAGCCAGGCATGGTGGTGGGCACTTGTAGTCCCAGCTACTCAGGAGGCTGAGGTAGGAGAACTGCTTGAACCTGGGAGGCGGAGGTTGCAGTGAGCTGAGATCATGCCACTGCACTCCAGCCTGGGTGACAGAGTGAGACTCCATCTCAAAAAAAAAAAAAAGGATTTCTGGGCATTTTTGGTTGTCGTTTTGTCTGTTTTGTTTTTATCTATTGACACTAGCAGGAAGGCTTACTTTTTTATAGTAGGTATATATTTCAAACCATAGTCTTAGGTCTTGTGACATAGTTAAAGGAAACATCATAGAAGAGCTCAGAGATGTAAAATAGAGCCATTTATGATGGTTTTGAGAACCTGTAACGATACATATATGTTAATTTCATTTAGGTTTTCTGCGTTTGGAACTGTGTACAGGTAAGATGCTCTAAGCTACCATATAGCAAAATTTAAATGAAAATTACCATTACACTTATTTAGCTCCAAATAATTTAATAACTATTACTGGGTTGTTACTAGAAAGAAAAACAGCTCACTGTAATAGTTAACGAAGCAAAGCAGTCCCAATCAAATCTTGCATTGCTCTGACACGTGTTTTGCTAAAGGAGAGGGAGAGGCATTTTGTTGTATTTCCAGCTGGCTTCCTGGGGAAACAGAACACATTTGGAGAATGTGTTCCCCTTTGTTAATTGTGACACATGTGTCCAGTGACCCCCGATGAAGAACTCTTAAAATGATATGGAATGTGTTCAAATTGCTGAAAACCAGAGACAAAGAGAAATCAACACAAAAACTGAAAATCTCTCATTTTTCTCAAAAGAGAAACATCTTGAGGAAGCTAGAGGAAAAAAGGCATTATCAAACAAGAAACAAGGTTAAGAATGGGAGCTGACTTCATATCAGAAACCATGCAAGCAAGAAACAAAGTGACACTTTTGAAGTCATAAAAGAATTTTTAAAAACCTATCAATCCAGAATTCTATAACCATTGAAAAATTCTTTAAATATTTGTTAATTACTCTGGTGTCTTTGAATTAAGGTGAAGTTGAATTCCCCTCATGTGGCTTGCAAGTTAGTCTTGTTTTTGTGGTTTGGGTTTTTGTTTTTGAGATAAGGTCTTCCTCTGTCATCCAGGCCGAAGTGCATTGGCACAATCACAGCTCACTGCAACCCCAACATCCCAGACTCAAGTGATCCTCCCACCTCAGCCTCCCACATTGCTGAGACTACAGGTGCACTCCACCACACCTGGCTAATTTTTGTAACTTTTGTAGAGATGGGGTTTCACCATGTTGCCCAGGCTGGTTTTGAACTTCTGGGCTCAAGCAATCTGCCCACCTTGGTCTCTCAAAGTCCTGGAATTACAGACATGAGCCACTGTGCCCAGTCTTGCAGGTTGGTCTTAATGACTGACTTTTAAGAAATGGAATATGGAAAAGTAAAAACTGTAGTTTTGTAGTGGAAGAAACCATCAAGTCACCAACACAACCAAGTAATCAAGGTTAACATCAACAATGAAAAGTCATATGGCTACCTCACACCACCGTGACACAATGGGAAGGTCACTTCAGCTATGTGAAATTCTTCCTCAAAATTTACAACCCCACTTTAATCAAGAGAAAACATCAGATGAACTCAAATCATTTGATGCACATTCTAAAAAAATATCTGGTCAGTGGTCTTCAAGGTGTCAAAGCCAGGAAAGACAGAGAGATTGTCCCTAATTGAAGTAGACTAAGGAGACATGAAGACTAAACACAATATGAGATCCTGGATGGTACCTGGGAACAAAGAGAAGAAATTAGTTAAAAACAAAAACAAAAACAAAAACAAAAACAAACTGGTGAAATGTGGGCCGGGCACGGTGGCTCACTCCTGTAATCCCAGCACTTTGGGAGGCAAGGCAGGTGGATCACCTGAGGTCAGGAGTCTGAGACCAGCCTGGCCAGCGTGGTGAAATCCCATCTCTACTAAAAATACAAAAATTAGCCGGATGTGGTGTTGGGCACCTGTAATCCCAGCTGCTCGGGTGGCTGAGGAATGAAAATCACTTGAAACCAGGAGGTTGAGGTTACAGTGAGCCAAGATCGCACCACTGCACTCCAGCCTAGGCATTAGAGTGAGACTTCCTCTCAAAAATGAAAAACTGGTTAAATATAGCCTGTCATTTAGGTAATAGTATTGTACAATGTTAATTTCTCGTTTTTAATAAATGTGCCATGGTAACGTAAGAGGTTAACATCAGAAGAAACTAAGTGAAGAGTGTATAGGAACTGTCTTTACCATCTTTGCAACTCTATGTAAATCTAAAATTATTCCAGAGAATGACTTCACAAGGTGGCAGAATAGAATTTCTCCAGCTCCACACCCCCACACGGAAATCCAACTAGCAACTATCCACAGGCAAGAATACCTTTCTGAATATCCCAGAACTCAGGAGTGAGACTGAGACACCCAATTGTACTGCAGAACTAAGAAAAGCTGTGCTTTGAAGGGTAAGAGGAACAGTTCATTTTGAGCATGTCACCCCTCCACCAAGCTGGCACAGCACGACACACAGAGGATTTCACCAGACCCACAATTTCTACAGTGGGAAAAGAAAGTTGGAGGTGGACATTCAGCTTGCCCACCATTCTAGGACCCTTCACAGGAGGCTCATCCTTGTCTTATACCACAGGAAACATTAGGAGTGCCATCGGGGCTAGACCACCTGGAGTCAGCTAGAAACAAAGAATGGGAGTAGATCTCACAGAGACTAGCATGTAGTTAGTCTGCATTCTGGCTAATGGAGGCATCATATGAGAGAGACTAGCCAACAGCATTGTACCGCAGGAAGTACAGCTCACAGATCTACCCAGCTCGCATCCCTCGCCAGCTTTCCTACATAGACCTGGTGCTTTCTACAGCATTGCCCAGGCTAGAAGGCAAGTGAAAGTCAGCACTTCTCTGCAGAGGGTACATCTGGTCCCCACCCAGCACCAGCAGCTGACCAGGGACTCCACTAAGCTTTGTTTAAGCCTACCTTAGGCCAGGAGACAAGATCAAGTCCGCACATATGTGTGGGGCATAATGGCTTCTAGCCCTGATCAGCCCTGTGTAGCTGAGCAACAACACCAGAGTCTTTAGTAGACCATAGAGCTCAGCACAAAGGCCTGCTCAACTATAGATTCTAAACAACAATACCATCCAACCAGCGGAGACAGCCTACAATCCTGCTGGATCAGAGTGAACTGCAGAGTCCAGTTAGCAGTACCATTCAACCTTAGGGCTCAGGAAGTGACACAGCCCAACTAGAGAACCTGACACCAAGCTCTGCCCGTCCAGGGTCATTGCCAGCTAACACATCCAGAATCCCTTCCTACGAAGTAGTAAAGATCTGTCAAAGCCTGGAAGAGGTGGCCGTCTCCTCAAACACAGAAGCATCAATGCAAGACAGAAGTATTATGAAAAGTCAGGGAAATATGACACCACTAAAAGAAAATAATAAAGATCAGATAATAGCTCTGGAATATAAGGTGATCTATAAAATGACTGACAAAGAGTTCAGGATAACCCCCTTAAAGAAGTTCAGGGAACTCCAGTTAAATTAAATTAAGTTTGAAACCAATTCATGAACAAAATGAGAAATTGACAAAGAACTAGAGATGATAAATAGAAACCAAATAGAAATCTGAGGTATAAAGAATACAATAGTTTAACTGAAAATGTCAATGGAAAGCTTTGACAGCAGACTTGATCAAGCAAAAGAAAGGATCACTGAATTCAAAGATAGGTATATTGAAATTATCCAGTCTGAAGAGCAAAAAGAAAAAGAATAAAGGAGGCCTACAGGAATTATGAGATACCATCAGGCAAACTAATATTCACATAATCGGAGATTCAGAAGAAGATAGAGAAGAAGGCCCAAAAAGGATATTTAAGAAAATGGCTGAACATTTCCCCAATCTGGGGAAAGATGACAACATCTAAATACAGGAAGCTCAAAAGTCTCCAATCAAATTCCACTCAAAAAGGAATTTACCAAGATAAAACATAATCAATTTATCAAAAATCAAAGACAAAGAAACAAAACTGAAAGCAGCAAGAGATAAGAAACATATCACATTCAAGAAACCACAATATGACTTTCAGTTGACTTCTTAGCAAAAACTCGGCAGGCCAAGAGAGATTGGGGTGATATATTCAAAGTGCTGAAGAAAAAGAACTGCCAACCAGGAATTTTTTACTTGGCAAAGTTGTCCTTAAAAAATAAGAGAGAATTGGCTGGGCAGGGTGGTTCACGCCTGTAATCCCAGCACTTTGGGAGGCCTAGGTGGGCAGATCACGAGGTGAGGAGATCAAGACCATTCTGGCCAACACGGTGAAACCCCATCTCTACTAAAAATACAAAAATTAGCTGGGTGTGGTGGCATGCACCTGTATTCCCAGCTACTTGGGAGCCTGAGGCAGGAGAATCACTTGAACTTGGGAGGGAGAGGTTGCAGTGAGCCAAGATTGCAGCAGCAGAGCAAGACTCCATCTCAAAAAAAAAAAAAGATAAAAAAAGAAATAAGAGAGAATTCCAACTTCCCCAGACAAACAAATCCTAAGGGAGTCTATTACATTATCCCTGCTTTACAGGAATGGCTAAAGGCAGTTCTTTAAGCTGAAATGGAAGGTTTCTACTTAATAACAAAAAAAATGCATGTAAAAATCTCAATAACTCAATGGTATTAAGTAATACATAATCAAACTCATTCTCTAACACTGTATGGGTGATACATAAAGCAATCGTATCCTTACTGTGATGATTAAAAGGAAAAACTATTAAAAGCAACTGTAGCTGCAATTGTTAAGGAATACAAATTACAAAAACAAATTAAAAATTTTACATCAAAATTATAAAAGGGGGGAGTGAGAGTATGAGATTAAAGTTCAATTATTATCAGCTTAATGTAGCGTGTTATAAAGCTCAGATATTTTATGTAAGCCTCATGGTAACCACAAAGCAAAAAGAAAACAACAAGAGAGAAATAAAGAAACAGGGACTTACAAAAAATTCAGAAAATGAATGACAAAACAGCAGTAGCAAGTGCTTACCTATCAGTAATTACTTTGAATGTAAACAGATTAAATTCTCCAAACAAGAGACTCAGGACAGCTGAATAAATTTTCTTTTTAAAGAACCATATGCTGCCTACAAGAGACTCACTCTACTAGTGAGGACACATACAGACTGAAACTGAAGGTATGGAAAAAGATATTCATTGCAAATAGACACCAACAGAGACCAGGAGTATCTATATTTATATCAAGCAAAATCGTCTTTAAATCAAAAACTGTAAAAAGAGATAAAGAAGGTCATTAAATAATGAGAAAGGGGTCAGTTCACCAAGAGGGCATAACAGTTGTAATTATATATGCACCCAACATCAGAGCACCTAAATACGTAAAGCAATTATTAAATGACATGAAGGGATAAATAAATGGCAATACTACAATATTATGGAACCTCAACACCGCTCTTTCAAAAATGTCCATACAACCCAAAATGATCTACAGTGTCAATGTAATCTCTCTCAAAATTCCAATGTCATTTTTCACAGCAATATAAAATATCCTTAAATTTATGTGGAATTACAAAAGACCCTAAAGAGTCAAAACGATCTTGGGCAAAAGGAAAAAAGCTGGTGTCATTACACTCCCTAATTTCAAAAATCTTATGAAGTTATTGTAATGAAAATAGCATGACACTGGCATAAAAATAAGCTGACTGATGAAACAGGATAGAAAGCCCAGAAATCAACCCATGCATGTATGATCAATTGATTTTTGACCAAGGTGCCAAGAACACACAATGGGGAAAGGACAATATCTTCAAAAAATAGTGTGGGGAAAACTAGCTATCCACATGAAGGAGAATGAAATCAGATCCATATTTTATACCACATACAAAAATCAACCCAAATGGATTAAAAATCTAAACATAATATCTGAAACTGTGAAACTACTAAAAGAAAACAGAGAAAAATCCCCACAACATTGGCTGGGGCAATGATTATTTGGATATGACCCCAAAAGCACAGGCAACAGAAGCAAAAAGCAAAAAGAGAGAAATAAAATGGCATCAAACTAAAAAGCTTCTTCACAGCAAACCTTTAAAGTGAAGGGACAGCCCACAGAACGGGAAAAAATATTTGCAAACTATACAGCTAATAAAGGGTCAATATCCAAAACATAAGAAACTCAAACAACACAAATACCATCAGTCTAAGTTGGTGAGCCCTTTCAAACTGCAGCTCACTTTATTTATTTATCTATTTTTTTTGAGACGGAGTCTCGCTCTGTGGCCCAGGCTGGAGTGCAGTGGCGTGATCTTGGCTCACTGCAAGCTCCGCCTCCCAGGTTCACGCCGTTCTCTTGCTTCTGCCTCCAGAGTAGCTGGGACTACAGGTGCCCGCCACCACACCCGACTAATTTTTTGTGTTTTTAGTAGAGACGGGGTTTCACCGTGTTAGCCAGGATGGTGTCCATCTCCTGACCTTGTGATCTGCCCGTCTCGGCCTCTGAAAGTGCTGGGATTACAGGCGTGAGCCACTGCACCAGGCCTTTTTTTTTTTTTTTTACTTTAAGTTGTGGCGTACGTGTGTAGAAAGTGCAGGTTTGTTACATAGGTATACATGTTCCATGGTGGTTTGCTGCACCTATCAACCCGTCATCTAGATTTTTTTTTTTTCTCTGAGACGGAGTCTCGCACTGTCATCCAGGCTAGGGTGCAGCGGCGCGATCTTGGCTCACTGCAAGCTCTGCCTCCCAGGTTCACGCCGTTCTCTTGCTTCTGCCTCCAGAGTACCTGGGACTACAGGTGCCCGCCACCACGCCCGACTAATTTTTTGTATTTTTAGTAGAGACGGGGTTTCACTGTGTTAGCCAGGATGGTCTCGATCTCCTGACCTCGTGATCCGCCCGCCTCGGCCTCCCAAAGTGCTGGGATGACAGGCAGGAGCCCCCGCGCCCGGCCCCATCATCTAGGTTGTAAGCCCCACAGGCATTAGGTATTTCTCCTAATACCCCCTCCCCTTGCCCCCCAACCCCGTAACAGGCCCCAGTGTGTGATATTCCCCTCCCTGTGTCCATGTGTTCTCATTGTTCAGCTCCCACTTAGGAGTGAGAACACGCAGTGTTTGATTTTGTGTTCCTGTGTGAGTTTGCTGAGAATGATGACTTCCAGATTCATCCATGTCCCTGCAAAGAACATGAACTCATTCTTTTTTATGGCTACATAGTATTCCACTGTGTATATGTCCCACATTTTCTTTATCCAGTCTATCATTGGTGGGCATTTGGGTTGGTTCCAAGTCTTTGCTATTGTAAATAGTGTTGCAATAAACATACATGTGTATGTGTCTTTAGAGTAGAATGATTTATAATCCCTTGGGTATATACCCAGTAATGGGAATGTGCAGCTCACATTTTTAATTTGCTCAGAGTTTTCTTCTCTTTGGATGCATAGTCATTGTCTCTGCTTCTTTTTCTTTTTCAGAATTTTCAGATTTGTGTAAATTTCCTCTATCGATTGCCACGTCACTTTCATTTTCCATCCCAACTTTGTCTCTTAGTATTTTTGCTCTGAGACTTGAAATGGTCCATCTTTTCCTTTGCCGGTCTCCAAGCCCTCCTCTAGCCCTGAGGTAGGAAAGCCCACAATAGCTCTCCTACCACTCTCAGGCCTTCATCTGCCTGCTGACGGTCCAAAAACGTCTTGCTTCAGGAGCACAGGTTGGAGTTAGAAGTGAAATTAGAGGCAAATTAGAAGATTGTAAACTATTATTTCCCCAGAACCGCACAGAATCGGCAGCTACATTAAATTTCTTACCCACAGAGCTGATTTTAGAAATACGTAACTGCAGACATTTTTAATGGTGACTGTCCCGTTAAAAGGTAATAGGAATGCATGTTTCCCCATTAAAGGACTTGCCTTGTTCCATTAAAAGGTAATGGGGATGCATGTGTGTGTGTGTACATGTGTGTGTGTTATTATCCACCAAAAAGCAGCAAAAGTTTTTTATATATTTTAAAGAAAATAATAGGAGAAGGGTTTTGTCATGCTATACTTAGAATTCTGAACATCATAACTTTTATTACAATGTATGTTTTAAGGTTAAAAAACAGTATTATTTAATGTGGTAAACCTTGGTAAATGACATTCTATTTATAATATATATTTTATATTCATAATTATGTTATACTCTTATATGCAATATTCAACACTAATATAATTTGTTTTATGGTACACCTGGCACGTAATTCTCTCATATCTTGGAGGTGATTCACATACATTTTTCTAATTCTGTCCTGACTAGTCTTCCTATTAACTGTTTAAAGAACTTTATACTCCACTATGGAAATCCTTCTTTTTAATAAATAAATGTGCTTTATGTAGTATTTCCATAAATAGTTTTAAATTACACCTGGACCATGACTGATACAGAAATATGTACATACACACATATCTATATCTATATTTATATGTATAAACATATGTACACATATCTATATAGAGAAATGTATTTCTATCTGTCTTTCCTATTGGATGTCTTGAAACTCCATCTTTGGGTTCCTTTCTTTTAAGTTAAAACCTATTTTTCCTACTAAAATGTAATGAAAAAAATAAAACCAACTGGGAGAACTAATAGTTGGCATTTTCTTACTAATTTATGCCTCAGTGGGACAATATTTTATCAACTCTTAGCATGGAAAAACAAATACACTTTGGTTTTGACAGAAAAAAAGGAGAAAAAACATTAAGCATCTCAGGCAAGAAAGGGATGGGAAAAGCGTGATTTGGGTGAAGCTTAGTAGTGAAGTAAATGTCACATGGTAGCCTAAGAAGCTGAGGACAATTTTCACTTGCATGACAATTTTTAGTAGAGTTGTTTAGTAACTTTAAAAACAGATTTAATACATTTTTTCTCTTAAAAAATCTACAGCAAGAAATCCAGAAGCCAATAAAATTTCTATCATTTCAATCCAGAATTCTTTCAATTGTTTCAGGTTATGGAGGCATTGGCCCATAAAATATTTTGCCCGATAATGTTTTCCAAAAAGGGAAATCTTTTCTGCTCTCATCAACAACAAAATGTCTGGAAGAAAAAAGAAATATTAAGGAATAAAAATTTGGCTGAAGAGCCTCTCTACTTAAAGGAATGAAAGGTGTTTCAAAAAGTTACTAACAATAAGCACAAAAACAATTAAACATTAAATGTAGAAACAATTAAAAGAAATATTTCATGATTTTCTGTAGCTCTTATTGGCAATCAAAAACCAGAAAACAAAAGCAGCAGGGGGGAATGCAAGAATAAATGAAGTGCAGAGAAAGGGCAAACATGAGTAAATAGTAGTGAAAGCTTTTTAAAACTACAATAATAATAATATCTTGTAGAAATATAAAATGCAATAAAAAAGTGTATTACAACAATGGCACAAGGGTGAGAGATACACAAATACATGGAAGTAAACTTGTAAGGATCTTGCATTCTTTGGGAAGTGGCCAAAGTACTAATAAGAGAACATATTGTGATCTTGAGGGAAATGACTAAAAGTTTCATTACAGCTGCAAAGCTAATACAGGAGATTCATAGCCAACAATTGGAAATTACCCAAAAATTCATCAATAAAAGAATGGATAAACAAATCCATTGTATGAATTCCATTCATATAATGGAAGAGTACATAACAGTGGAAAGGAATGAACTAAAAATATCAACCAAAAATTGGAGGAATATCAAAACATTTTGCTAAGGGAAATGAGCAAGACACAAGGTGACATACTGTATGATTCCATTTATATGTTCAAGAAGAGGCAAAACTAATCAATGGTGATAAGAGATTGTTTTGGAAAGGACACAGGAAACTTCCTAGGTAATGGAAATGTTCTATATGTTGATCTGAATGCGGGTAAAGAGAGAGAAGGAGGAAGACAGAAAGAGAGAGTCATTGAATAATACTGAAGTTCTGAGCTAAGAGTCCTTAATGGATATACAAATATTAAAAGGAGCCTTCTTAAATTGTACCACACACTTTAACCTGGATTCATAAAGCATCAAAGGTAGAAGGGATATAGAGGGATCATTTATTCCAATCTCCTCAATTTTACAGATGAATAAACAGACACAGAAGAATAGTTGCTGTATTAGTCCGTTCTCACACTTCTATAAAGGACTGCCCGAGACTGGGGAATTTTTCTTTTTTTGAGATGGAGTCTCATTCTGTAGCCAGGCTGGAGAGCAGTGGCACAGTCTTGGCTCACTGCAACCTCTGCCTTCCGGGTTCAAGTAATTCTCCTGCCTCAGCCTCCTGAGTAGCTGGGAGTGCAGGCACATGCCAACACACCCAGCTAATTTTTGTATTTTTAGTAGACACAGGTTTTCACCATGTTGGCCAGGATGGTCTCAATCTCTTGACCTCATGATCCACCCACCTTAGCCTCCCAAAGTGCTGGGAGTACAGGCATGAGCCACTGCGCCCAGTGAGACTGGGTAATTTATGAAGAAAAGAGGTTTAATTGACTCACAGTTCCACAGGCTGTACAGGAAGCATAACTAGGAAGCCTCAGGAAACTTAACAATCATGGTAGAAGGTGAAGGGGAAGCAAGCATGTCTTACCATAGCAGAGCAGGAGAGAAAGAGTGAAGGGGGAAGTGCCACACATTTTTAAAACATCAGGTCTCATGATAACTCACTCATTATCATGAGAACAGCAAGGGGGAATCTGCTCCCATGATCTAATCAGCTCCCACCAGGTCCCAATTCAACATGAGATTTGGGTGGCAACACATAGCCAAACCATATTATGCCACCACTAGTCCCTGCCAAATCTCATGTCCTTCTCACATTTCAAAACACAAGCATGCCTTCCCAAAAGTCCTCCAAAGTCTTAACTCCTTCCAGTATTAACTCAAAAGTCCAAGTCCAAAGTGTCATCTGGAACAAGGCAAGTCCTTTCCACCTATGAGCCTATAAAACCGAAAACAAATTAGGTACTTCCAAGATCCAATAAGGGTACAGTCATTGTGTAAATGCTCCCATTCCAAATGAGAGAAATTGGCCAAAACAAAAGGGCTACACGTCCCATGCTAGTCTGAAATCCAGCAGGGGAGTCATTATATTTTAAAGCTTCAAAATAATCTCCTTTGACTTTGTCTCACATCCAGGATACACTAATGCACTGGGTGGCCTCCCAAGGCCTTGGAAAGTTCTGCCCCTGTAGCTTTGCAGCATACAGCCCCCATGGCTGCTTTCACAGGCTGGAATTGAGTGCCTGTGGCTTTTCCAAGCACATGGTGCAAACTGTCAGCAGATCTACCATTCTGGGATCTGGAGGACAGTGGCCCTCTTCTCATAGCTTCACTAGGCAGTGCCCCAGTGGGGACTCTGTGTGGGGCCTCCAACCCCACATTTCCCTCCTGCACTGCCCTAGTAGATGATCTCTATGAGGTCTCCACCCCTGCAGCAGACTTCTCCCTGGACATCCACACATCCTCTTAAACCTAGGTAGAGGCTCCCAAACCTCAACTCTTGCCTTCTGCACACCTGCAGGCCCAACACAATGTGGAAGTCACCAAGGCTTGGGGCTTACACCCTCTGAAGCAATGGACAAGCTGTATCTTGCCCCTTTTAGCCAATGCTGCAGCTGAAGTCTCCATGATGCAGGGTGCCATGTCCCTAGGCTGCACAGAGCAGTGGGTCCCTGAGCCTGGCCCATAAAACCATTTTTGCCTCCAGGCCTGTGATGGGAGGGGTTGCCTTGAAGTTCTCTGAAATATCTCAGAGGCATTTTCCCCCTTGTCTTGGCTATTAACATTCGGCTCCTCTTTACTTATGCAAATGTATGCAGCCTTCTTGAGTTACTCCCGAGAAGATGGGTTTTCTTTTCTACCACACGGCCAGGCTGCAAATTTTCTGAACTTTTATGCTCTGCTTCCCTTTTAAATGTAAGTCCCAGTTGCAGGTCATTTCTTTGTTTATGCAAATAAGCATAGGCTTTTAGAAGCAGCCAGACCACCTCTTGAATGCTTTGCTGCTTAGAAATTTCTTCCAACAGATACCCTAAACCACCTCTCTCAAGTTCAAAGTTCCATAGATCCCTAGAGCAGGGGCACAATGCCATCAGTCTCTTTGCTAAAGCATAACAACAGTGACCTTTACTCCAGTTCCCAATAAGTTCCTCATCTCTATCTGAGATCACTTCAGCCTGGACTTCACTGTCCGTATCACTATCAGCATTTTGGTCACAACCATGCAGCAAGTCTCTAGGAAGTTCCAAACTTTCCCTTATCTTCCTGTCTTCTTCTGATCCCTGCAAACTGTTTCAACCTCTGCCTGCTACCTGGTTCCAAAGTCACTTCCACATTTTCAGGTATCTTTACTGCAATGTCCCACTTCTCTGCTACCAATTTTCTGTATTAGTTTATTGCTATAAAGAACTACCTGAGACTGGGTAATTTATTTTTAAAAAGAGGCTTAATTGACTCTCAGTTCCATACGCTGTGCAGGAGGCATGGCTGGGGAGGCCTCAGGAAACTTACAATCATGGCATAAAGTGAAGAGGAAGCAAGCACATATTCACTTGGCCAGCAGGACAGAGAGTGAAGGGGGTGGTGCTACACACTTTTAAACAACTAGATCTTGAGAGAACCCATTATCACAAGAACAGCAAGGGGGAAATCTTCCCCCAGGATCCAGTTACCTCCCACCAGTTCCCTCCCACAACATTGGGGATTACAATTCAACGTGAGATTTGGGTGGGGACACAGCAAAGCGCCAAACCATATCAGATGCCTTGTCACAGTCTATCATGCAACTTGTAAATGGAAGAGCCAGTGCTAGGATCCAGTTATCTTGTATCCACTGCAGCACTTGCTCAGAACCACTTTTTATGAAAAATTCAAATTCCATAAGAATTAAATGAAGGCAGAAGACAAATAATATAGCATTCTAAAATTAATTCATACAGTTCATAAGTCAGAAGACAAATAATATAGCATTCTAAAATTAATTCATACAGTTCTTTTATTCCAAACTTAATCTTAGTTGTCTCATTAAATGAAAGTTTCTGGGTTGACCACTGATGAAGACATAGACAGAAGCTATGAATTTTACACATACTTTGATCACATTTTTTCCTGCCTGAATTATTAGAAGAATAACACGTTTCAGTGTGCTTGATTGCTAAGTGAGACAGATAAGTGTAAGATTATTTTTCAAGCAATATACTTGCTCATCTTTCAGGAAGCACTTTACTCACGATTACATGTGCACTTAGATAAAAGTACAGTTTTTATCTTGATTGTCACTCATGATGTAATTATTCATAAACTTAAGAAAAGAAGTTTCTTTCAGCATGACAAATGGTTCTCATGCTGGTGACATGACACTTTTGATCTGTTATGTGAAGGGAAAGGTTTTTCTTCCACCTACCTAAAATTTTCCCCAATACAAGAAATTTGACAGCACTGAATTCTGTACCTGACAGGATGACTTGTCTCCTTGCATTCTGTTAACCTAACAATTTCTTCCAATAGAAGCATTCAAATGAAGAGTAACTTTGTGATAAAAAGACAGGAAGCAAAGGGAAACCAAGGAAAAAAATCATAAAATAAACCACCTGTTAGTGCTACCAAAAAGGTTAAGAGATCAATTCCAAGATTTATATACTAAGAGGAAAATATTTTTAACCAACTTATAGAATGTCATAAGCTGCCACTCCATCTGCTATCTCCTTTCCCGATTTACTTTGCTTCATAGGATATCTATAACTGGGAGGATCTACAAAGAAATACAATGCATTACTTTATACCTCAAACCTTTTAACTAAGAATAAAATATTACATGAGGCAGAGAAATGTTCTATCTATAGATTTAATATCTAAATGATTTTCTTCAAAAGCCAGCAACAGAGTAAAATTTATTTTGTGGTGACTTTTCATTATTTATCCTCATTTTAATCAAAATCAGGTTGTTTTTCTTGTTCTAAATTACTATTATATATAGCATTTGTGGTTTGACAATTCAATGAAAATTGGTTTTCACTGAAATATCAATTCAAAGTTTCTACCAGTAGTATCCAGCGATAAAATCGACTGTTTCCTTATGAACTAAAAGCAAAACTTGACATCTAAGTAATCAAATGTTAATAATAGCTTGGATAGATTCTCATTGTTAAACAAAAGCAAAGCAAAGAACAAAAGCAAAACCAAACAAAATGCTGTAATTATATTTGACTTCACTTCTTACTTATACATACATATATATATATATATGTATATCATTGGTTGGGCATTGTTTCCCAGTCATTTATTATCAAATGTTTGTGTAAAGTCATTGATGCTAGCAAGTCATAATTTTAATTATTGCATTACCTCTACAATTTCTTCTTTCATGTTCATTTTAAAATGGTGAAACTGCTATCAGCTAAGTTTTTTAAATCAAAGTAAAAGGAATCTGAATCTTGATGTCAGTCTAGCCTGTACCTGACCTGCAAACTCCCTAAAAAGGAAAAAAAAAAACTGTATTTAAAACTTCTCATGTAGAGTCAAGGATCTTTTTAAGTCCCCCTTCCTGGAATATTGATTACTTAAGTGCTTTTCCAGAATCTCTGAGCTCAGTTACAGTCAACCCTTCCTATCCCTAGGTTCTACATCCATGGATTCATCCAGTCATGGATAAAATATCTTCAAAAATTAAAAATAACACAAATTTTAAAACAGTATGTAAAACAACGATTTATATAGTGTTTACATTGCATTGGGAATTATAAGTAATCCAGAGATTATTTAAAGAGAGAGTGTATGTGTGGGTTACATGCAAATACTTCATCATTTACATAAGGAACTCAAGCATCCATGGGTTTTGGTTCCCCAGGGAGTCCTGGAACCAATGCGCCACCAATACTGTGTTAAGTATCAAGACAAATGGATTAATGATAAGCTGTGTCTTCTCTACAATTCTTTCACCACGTTTTCCCTTTAGAAAAACACTAAAGTAAGTATGAAAAGCTTTGGCTCTAATTTCTCATAAATTACTTATAATTTGATATTTACAAATATAATTATGAATTATAAGTTGATATCGTATTGCAATAACATTTTGTTTCTATAATCATGCCTCTTTTTAATGTGATTTTCTCGTGTATTTTAATATATTGCAGAAATGCAATAACTGAAGAACTTGTTTTTTGTACAGTGAGAAATTTGTATACAAAGTCTTCTACCATAATAAAAAAAATGAAGAGGAGCACCAAAACAAGTAATTTGCCAAGAGTCAGTTTTCCTTGGATTCGTATATTCCAATTCCCCTGCCACCACCCCACACAGACATGTTCACATTTGCCACCACTCTCTCACTGCCTGCAATGAGATCTAGTTAGCCAGAGATGTTTTTCAGGCTTTTTCAGATATTATGTTCATGTTTTGACTTGCCATGTAGCATAGTTAAGGAGGCCTGGCTTTGTTTTCCTACTGTGAAAGGTTTGGAGAGTTTGATGTCCCACTGGGCTGAATGAATGACAGTCAATTCAACTTTCTTCCTCACGTAGGTATGCATAAGTGACTTCTCAACTATTAGAAAGTTACTTTTAAGTAGGATTCACTTGAGTAATAACCACCTTAATATTTCTCTTCTTCTCTTAAAAGGAAGAGAAACATTTGCCATATAAAATACTGTATATCTTATTCCAATATGTGGCAAATTTGATTTTTATTATTCATATGCAATACTAAAGACCCTCAGCAACATTTCAAATCAGAGTTTCACATGAAATATGTAAAATTGCCAAACTTGAACTGAAAGGCATCTTAATTTCATCATTGAAATGCTAACTTTTGCAATAAATATTTTGAATATTACTGAAAAATAAAAGAGAATGAAAGTTGGAGGGCATGTCATATTTTTATCTGTAGCTTGAACACTGCGATGATCCACCTCATTGCCATAATATTTTTATAATTTAATTTTCTCATTAACTCTCATTCACTTTAAAACATATTTGCCATGTTGCACAAGGATAACCAAAAGATATTCCTCAGAGAAGGCACACACATAAATCAGTAAGCTTGGAGCTCATGTCTATTATGTAGTTTTGGAATTATTCCAAAGACTTGCATAGTTTGCTACGTTTTGCTGTAACAAGAACTTAGACCGTACTCCCTCCAGCCCTCAAGAATGCGATGTCTGCCGGGAGCGGTGGCTTCTGCCTGTAATCCCAGCACTTTGGGTGCCCGAGGACGGAGGATCATGAGGTCAGGAGTTTGAGAGTAGCCAGTTCGAGACCATCCTGGCCAACATGGTAGACCCCGTCTCTACTGAAAATACAAAATTAGCCGGGTGTGGTGGCGTGTGCCTATAATCCCAGCTACTCAGGAGGCTGAGGCAGCAGAAACACTTGAACCCAGGAGGCAGAGGTTGCAGTGAGCTGAGATCAGGCCACTGCACTCCAGCCTGGGTGACAGAGCAAGACACCGTCTCGTGGGGGGAAAAAGAATGCAATGTCAAAACTCATCAGACCCATCATATGTGAGTTACTGACCTCAACCACTGGATTTCAAAATACATATAAACATAAGAGCTCGATGAACACTTTGAGAACTTCAGTAAGTCTCAGCCACTTCTCCAAAAATGGAGAGCATATTCTGTGACAGGGTTGCCCTGCCAGTCAATTCTTGGAAGACTGAACTCATGCAGCAACAGAGCCCCACCCTGTCAGCAGCTGAGCTTTGAAGCCTCGCCTGCATCACTGGCACCACCCACTGGTGTCAAGGGACCCCAGGTGTCTTTGAGGATCTCCATGGTGTCAAGACACCATCTCTCCAGAGAATTCGCTTGAAAAAAAGGTGCACCTCAAACTTTCATTCGATTTGCCTTTCCACAGAGGCCTGCTTCCATTTCTACTTCAGGAACTAGACTTTAATATTTGGAACTCACTCCCTCTGTGGTTAATGTGCCTCATCTTTTGAGTGTATTCCCTGTAGATTTGTTCACATTATTCTTCTCCTTTTTGAGCATTGTGAACTTAAGAAAACAAATTCTCCTTGCATGGCAATAACCATGTGATTTGTGAAATCATACTTTGAGCATCTTATTTTAACCATACAAAACAGCGTGGCTCAGAAATTCAATGTGATCTTTCCTCTGGTCAGTGACATATCCCCATGAAGTGAAGCAGCAAGGCAGTAAAGGAACAGGGGTTTTAGTTAAGGGGTAAAATGGGTAATCTTCTTGGAAATTACAAGCAACTGAAGAGCTCATTCCAAAATATGCAGAAATCTCTGAAATCATACATACTTTTTATGTTAGCAAAACTTAAGTGCAAGGAGTCATAATTTAGGTTTATTTAAAGAATGTCTCCAGTCTTGAAATAACCTGAGTGATAAAATAATAATACAATCTTTACTTTTATCTACTTGTTTCTCTTTAATTTTACCACACTTAATATGACATAAAGTAAAATATAACAGTTCTTCAATACATATTTTTCAGAACTAAATAACATTTAAGGGAGATATCGTGATAGTCTTCAAAATATTTTCACCTTAGATTACATATCATTATTTTTTGGTATCAATTTCTAATTTAAAGCTATTTTTCCACTTAGGATCCTAGTTTTTATTTAAATTTTATTTAATTTTTATCTCCTCTTTTTTCATCTATTGTTTTACAGATCGCTTACAATAATTTTCCCTCAGTGCATAGAAAGGAGTGAGCTTGACAACCACCCACCCCCTTGAAAATCAATAGAAGTTGTCTTTTATAATAAAGCTCTCCCTTATTTACTGGAGAAGTGAAGCTAAGTATACAGATGCATCAGCCTGAGTCAGAAAGAGAAGCAGATATTGCTCAGCAGGAAGCCAGGATAGTGGGATTTCCAACTTCCTCTAGGTCGTTTTGTGAAAGGTGGTATCATTTTATGTTAAGACAAATTCCCAGAAATGTTACCACCCTACACACACACACACACACACACACACACACACACGGAGGCAAGGAGGAGGCTACTGTGCCTTGGGCACTTGCCTAGGCATTGCCTGAAAATTACAGATAATTGTCACTAACCAATCTAATTGCAACTGTTAAAAGAAATAACCCTCAATTCAGAGTATTTCCTATTCAAATGCAATACAATTTTTGTTTCTAATATATTAGGTTGCACAGAAACACTAAGATTGTACTTAAATATGGACTGAGGACCATTTTAAACATTACAGTAAAGTAGTGATCACAATTTCATCTGGTTATATTAAAAGTGTTCTGGAATGGTATTGGGAATTGATTTTTTTTTTTTTTTGAGATGGGGCTCTCACTATGTTGCCCAGGGTGGTCTCTATCTTCTGGGATCAAGTGATCCTTCTGCCTCAGTTTCCCATGTGGCTGGTACTACTGGTGCATGCCACTGTGTCTGTCACATTTTTTAAAATCATAAACTGATTCTAAATTATAAATAAATCAAGAGGAAAGACAGAGGACTTACTATGGTGCTATCTTGACAACATCAAAGTAACTAATCCCCAAAAGTTTATTCAAAAATCACAAGTTGTTTCATCTTAGACCCAATTTCTGTACCAAATAAAGCCTATTATACTCCATAATGAAAAGTACAGATAATGAAAAGTACAGAGCCCAGTGATGCTTAAATGATGCCATGTAATCTAATAGCTTTGATGAGTCAGTTTCCAAGATATATAATTATATTCAAAGAGTTCTGTCTGGTTCTGTTGATACTACAATCAAATTCTTCCTTCGCTGCAGACAACACCTTGTACTTAAGCAGAAGCTGAGTCATGCCCCCCACTATACGCCTCTAACAACGGATATGTGAAAGTCTTAGAGCTAAATGTCTGAGTGGTCCTGTTTTATAACAGATCAATAGTTCCTGAAATTAGTATTTGCCTTCCAGGCTAAAATATTTTTTCTACAGTGTTCCAAATATTCTTGCATTTCTTAAAGTCATTGTCATAAATAGCAATGATGCTTTGATAATCCTGATAACAAACTACTTCCAAACTGCAGCAACAGAAGGAAAATGGTAGGATATACAGAAAATCTTTTGAGAAATCCAGAGAGGACTGATATTAGACATAACAGCAATAACCTGTGGCTTTTCAAGAAGAGAAGCACATTTCTTCCCAATTAAAACTAGGAATTCTCGACAGATATAGTTCACTTTCAAGTGACTAGAATTGTCGCATTCCTTATAATGTCAAATGAAATATTCTTTGTTTCCTATGTTCACCGGCTCCTTGGTCACACTTACTATTTGAGCAGAACAGTCCATCATACATCGAGAAGGCACAGTCACAAGCGATCCCTCTGCGTTTCTCTCACATCTCCCTCGGAGGTGACACACGTGGCCATAGCTATGCAGTGTCCAGCATGCCCTGGCTCCACTCTTGGAGTCACTGTGGCTCTTTCTTTCAGATCCGGGATTGTCCCTTTCAACTGCAGAAAATGAATGCATTCCAGAAAGCCTGGGTCTGGTGGCCATTTCACCTGCAAGGGAAGCACTGCAAATACAAACACATTCCTTTGTGTTTTATTCAAGATTTCATCACCCTGTCAAACTGAGGCCTTATGGAGAATAGCAGAAACTGTGATCACTCAAAAGGTCTCAAGAACAAATATAATTTTGGAAACATACATTTAATGAAATGTTAAGTAATGGCAAATTACTTCATTTATTTATTTACTATATATATTCATATTTTACTTGACACATAATAATTGTACATATTTATGGGGTACAGTGGGATATTTCAGTAGATGTATAAAATGTATAATGATCAAATCAGGGTAATTAGCATGCCCATGACCTCAAACCTTTATCATTTCTTTGTGTTGGTAACATGAAAAATCCTCTCTCCCAGGTATCTGAAAAAAAAGACAACACACTGTTGTTTACTGTGGTTACCCTATAGTGCTGTACAACACTAGAACTTATTCCACCAACTAACTGTAATGTTGCAGAAGACAATACTGACCACATTTGTGAAATATTATCCTAATATGAATGATAATTATAGGTGGGGTTTTATGCTAACATAGCTGCCAAGAATTCCATAAATGAATGCCCACAATTGTAAGCGAGAAAACAAGATTATTCAATTTGGTGTGTGTGTGTGTGTGTGTGTGTGTGTGTGTGTTTCTATTCTCAGGCAGGGAGTTGGTTTTAGTTCTTTTTTTAAGAGGCCCAAACTCATACTACTGTAAGAATTAACTGCAAGTTAATTATTGCAAGTTGAAGTTATTTATAAGACTATGGTATGTATGTACATACACACAATTCTGAATTCACTGTGTAATATTAGTACTCAAAATCATATATATTGTACAGGAGAACAACCTGTGTGATAATTCATGAGTTATCTCAGTCTCTAATTGGACAGTACAATTATTTACTTTAAAATAGATTAGAAATCACCAACAGAGAGCTTTTTCTTTTAAACTAAATGCAAGCAGAGTAAAAAGAAATGTAGAGTAGAAAGAAATGAAGCAAAATATAGATCTTCCTTTGGGAAAAAAGTCAAGACACAAAAGCAGTTGAAGAGGTGTCTTTCATTTCCTAGAGTGATACACATATTTAGCAGTTCGGTAATTTTTGTTTAACAGCCATATTGAGGCTCTATTGGCATATGATGAACACACATGCTTAAAGTGCAGGACTTGTTAAATTTTTACATATGTATACAACCATGAAACTATCATCACAATTAAAATAAGGAATATATCCATCACCCCAGCAAAATATTCTCCTCCCTCTTGATAACCCCTCCCCCATAACCTCCCTGCTTCCCTCAAATCCCTGGCAACCACAGATCTGATCTCTCTCATGATTAGTTTCTATTTTCCAGAATGTCATATAAATGGAACCACACAGTATTTACTTTTCTTTATCTGGCTTTTTTCTTTCAACAGAATTATTTTGAAATTCATTAATGTGTAATATGTATCAATAATTCATTCCTTTTTATTGCTGAGTAGTATCTCGTTGTGTGAATATAGCTCAATTTGTGTGTTCATTCATTTGAAGATGGGCATTTGAATTGTGTCCAGTTTTCATCTGTTATAAATAAGCTACTATGACCATTTATGCACAGATGGTCATATGAAAATATCCTTTCATTTCTCTTGGGTAAATACCTAGACAAGAATAGCTATGTCATATGGTAGATATCTGTTTAACATTTAAGAAACTGCCAAATTGTTTTGCAGAATGTTTGTCTTTATGCCAAATTGCTTTGGTTGATTTTATTATGGTAAACTAAACTTGAATTACTGGTATAAGTCAATTTTTTGAAACTTTGTTAAGATTTTTTTGCATCTGTGGTCATGAAGTACTGTATTTTTACTTTTTAAAAATGTCTGTCTAGGTTGGGCATGGTGGCTCACGCCCATAATCCCAGCACTTTGGGAGGTCAAGGTGGGCAGATCATGAGGTCAGGAGGTCGAGACCAGCCTGGCCAAAATGACGAAACCCTGTCTCTACTAAAAATACAAAAAATTATTAGGGCATGGTGGGGGGCACCTGTAATCCCACCTACTCAGGAGGCTGAGGCAGGAGAATCACTTGAACCCAGGAGGTGGAGGTTGCAGTGAGCCAAGATCACGCCACTGCACTCCAGCCTGGGTGACAGAGCGAGACTCCGTCTCAAAAAAGAAAAAAAAATGTCTGTCTGAATGTGGTGTCAGAATAATGCTGGACTTGTAGAATGAGTTCAAAAGTATTCTCTCCTCTTCAATTTTCTGAATGAGTTTATGTTTATTTGTTATTTCTTCCTTAAATGTTTGCTAGAAAACTCCAGCGAAGCCATCTGGGCCTGGAATTTTTTTTGTGGGAAGGTTTTTAACTATAAACTCAATCTAATTAATAGACTATTCATGTCATCTATTTCTTCTTGAGTCAGTGTTAGTAGTTTACATCTTTCAAGGAATTTGTCTTTACTTCTAAGCTGTCAAACATACTGGCATACAGCTTTGCATTGTAATCTCTTATTATGCCTTTTAATATATGTAATGTATGTAGTGAGATCACCTCTCTCATTACTGATGTTGGTAAATTTTGTCTTTTTTTTCTCTCATTGATGGCAGCAGCTGCAGCCATCATGCGGGCTACAGCAGGGAGGCATGGCTGGGCCTGCATACTCCATGAAGCTGGTGGGAGCCCCACCCCTTCTGAGTTGGGGTATGAGTTCCCTGGTGCGGCTGCAGACCCAGGCCTCCTGCTCTACGGAGCAGGCTGTAGCCCAGCCCAAACTGCAGCTGTGGATCCAAGCTTCCCTGTGCTCTTGGAGGGGGCTGGGAACCGACAGGATCTGCCCTCCTGGGTACAGCTGCAGCCACCCAACCCACTGCTGCAGACCTGGGCTTCCGGCTCCATGGAGCAGGCAGGAGACGGAGACAAGCAGAAGCCCCGCCCCTTCTGAGTTGGCTGGGTGGGAGCTCCCTGGGTGCAACTAAGGCCACCCTCCCAGGCACAGGACCCTGGCATCTTGGCAGCCTGCACCTGCCACCCCCCGCTGGCTCCGGGATGTCTGCTCTCACTGCCTGGCCTCTCTCCTCTTCTGGCACCCTCTTTAATCTCCCAACAGGGTTGGTCGAGCCCTGGGGACTTGAATGGCAGGGGGAGGGAGAGTCCTGGGCAGAAGCGGATGGGTCCCCAGTAAAGCCCCACCTTCAAGCCGGGGAGGGCCTGAAGGCTGGGAGCCAGACTGCCAATCCTGTGGACAGGACTGGGGATCTGTCCCTCCTCTGGGCCGCCAATGGCTGCTCATGGACCAGTTGGCAGGTACTTCTTCCTTTCTGAGGTCCATAAAAGCCCTGGGCTCTGCCAGAGAGGGCAGAGGACAGAGAGACGATGGGATGACCAGCTGCAGAGACGAACTCTCCCCTCTACTGAGAGCTTCAGAGACCTGCAGAGACCTCCAAATGACCAGCCTGCAGAGAGGAGCCACACTCGCCAGGGCCTCCTCTCTGCTGAAAGCTGAACACTCCACCGGACGACCTGCCTGCAGAGAGGAGCTACCCACTGTGGGTCTTCTCTGAGCTGTTCTAACACTAAATAAAACTCCTCTTAATCTTCTTCGCCATTCCTTTGTCTGCGTACCTCATTCCTCCTGGATGCAGGACAAGAACTCAGGCAAAGATGCCACTGTCCACAGAGGTTTCTGGGCAAGAAAATCGACACCCCAAAGATCCTGTAACATCATGATTGGCTGTCTCCACATTTACATCATACAATTCAATTACAAACCACTGCAAAGCAGCACTTATTGATGAAGAGCTGGCTCGTGAGCTGTAAGTGGACATGCCATCAGTGGTGGCAGGTTGTAGCTTAGTAACTTGAAATGATACTTTTTTTACATTCCTCTCTGCCCTCACGTGGTGCTAATAATTGTCATAAAAGGGAGTATATGACTCCACCATGACCTCAAAAGGCCTATTCCCCATCTTAAAGGAAAATGTCACTTTTCTGGTGCTAGAAATTGTAGATATGAGAGTTGCTCAAGTTCATTTATAGTGAAGAGAAGTTAGTAGTGTATTTATACAAGCCTAACACTATGAAATGCATATATTTATTAAATACTATGGAAGGAGCCAATGGCAGTGATCCAGAAAACATATGCTTTTCAGTTGAGATAGAAGAGCAAAAGAAATCTCTATTCCTATTGCAGAGAAAAAATAGTAAATATATTTGCTCATAACAACATAACTAAACTGTTTGTGGCTTAATAAATAAAAATATAGTTATTTAAAGGTGGTTCAAGGTTTCCTATATAATCTTCCATTCCCCAAATGTGAATTTGCACAGTAAGGAATTAAAAATAAAACAAAGCAATATTACTTGTCAATTCAATCAAATAACTTTGTAATTTAGCAGAAAATAAATTGCACCAGTTTGGTTTAAAGCCCTAACTACACATCTATAGTTTCCTTAAATTAATTAAAAGAAGTCATGCAATTTTCACAGAATATCACATGCATGTTATCCACTTTAATTTCTCTTAAAAATGGGTTAGTTGCCATTATCAAACTTTAGACAAGAAATCAAACAGATAAAGTAACAATGAAAGCAACTTAGACATTAGCTGAAGGGTTTATTCCTAATTGCTGAGTACCCATGCTTTATCCACAAAGGGTGATTTACCATTTCTATAAACTGATAGTGAGCTATCCAAAATGGAAATTAAGAATACAATCCCGGCTGGGCGCGGCGGTCACGCCTGTAATCCCAGCACTTTGGGAGGCCGAGGTGGGCAGATCACCTGAGGTCAGGAATTAGAGTGACCAGCCTGATCAACATGGTGAAACCCTGTCTCTACTAAAAAATACAAAAAAAATTAGCCGGGCATGATGGCAGGTGCCTGTAATCCCAGCTACTCGGGAGCCTGAAGCAGGAGAATCGCTTGAACCTGGGAGGCAGAAAAAAAAAAAAGAATGCAATCCAATTACAATAGCAACAAAAAACTTATAAAATACTTAGGTGTAAATTTAACCAAGGAGGTGAAAGAACTGTATACTGAAAACTATAAAACACTGATGAAAGAAAATGGAAGAAAACACAAATAAATGGAAAGATATTTTATGTCCACAAAGTAGAACAATTAATAGTCTAGTTTTTATTTTTAATTTTTATGAAAACATAATAGTTGTACATATTTATAGAGTACCTGTGATATTTTGATACAAGCATACAGTGTGTAATGATCAGATATGGGTAACTGGGATATTCATTACCTCAAACATTTATTGTTTTCTTGTGTTGAGAACGTTGTGAAATACAAAATAAATTACTGTTAACTATAGTTGCCCTATTGTGCTACCAAACACTAGATCTTACTCCTTCTATCTATCTAACTGCATTTTATATCCATTAACCAACCCTTTTCGTGCCCTCCTCCCACTACCCTTCCCAGTTTTTGCTAAACACCATTCTGTTCACTACCTCCCATTTTTTTAGCCCACACATATGAGTAAAAGCATGATATTTGTCTTTCTGTATCTGGCTTATTTCACTTAACATAATGTCCTCCAATTCCATCTATGTTGCTACAAATGACAGAATTTCATTCTTTCTTCTGGCTGAATAATATTCCATTGTGTATATATACCATATTTCCTTTACCCATTCATTCATTGATGGATACTTAGGTTGATTCCATATTTTGGCTATTGTGAATAGTGCTGCTGCAATAAACATGGGAATGCAGATATCTCTTTGATACACTGAGTTCTTATCTTTTGGCCATATACCAACTAGTGGGATTGCTGGATCATATGGTAGTTCTATGGTTAGTTTTATTGACAAATCTCCACAGTGCTTTTCAGTGTGGAGATTTCCAGTAGCTGTACGAATTTACATTCCTACCAGCAGTGTATGAGCACTTCCCTTTCTCCACATCCTCCTTATCATTTGTCATTTTCTGTCTTTTTGATAATAGCCACTTTAACTGGGGTGCAAGGATATCTCATTGTGATTTTGATTTGCATTTCTGTGATCATCAATCATGTTGAGCATTTTTTCATTTATGTGTTGGCCATTTGATTTTCTTCTTTTGAGAAATATGTCTATTCAGATCTTTTGCCCCTTTCAAAATCAGAGTATTTGTTGTTGTTTTTTTTTTTTTGCTATTGAGTTGTTTGAGCATCATGGTGTATTCTGATTATTAATCCCTTATCAGATGAATACTTTGCAAATATTTTCTCCCATTCTGTAGGTTGTCTCTTCACACTGTTGATTTTTTCCTTTCCTGTGCAGAAGGTTTTTCACTCGATGTAATCCCATTTGTCAATTTTTGCTGTGGTTTCCTGTGCTTTTGAGGTCTTACTCAATAAATCTTTGCTCGGACCAATGTCTCGAAGGATTTTACCTAAGTTTTGTTCTAGTAGGTTCACAGTTTTGAGGCTTACATTTAACTCTGTAATGCATTTTAAGTTGATTTTTGTATATGGTGAGAGATCAGGGTCAAGCTCCACTCTTCTGCATATGGTTACTCAGTTTTCCCAGCACCATTTATTAAAGATACTGTTCTTTCCCCAGTGTATGTTCTTAGGGCCTTTGATGAAAATCAGTTGGCTATAAATACATGGATTTGTTTCTGTGTTCTCTATTTCGTTCCTTTGGTGTATATGTCTGTTTTTATGCCATAAACATGCTTTTTATTTTTTATCACTGCAGCTTTGTAGTATATTTTGAAGTCAGATAGTGTGATGTCTCCAGCTTTGTTCTTTTTGTTCAGGGTTGCTTTGTATACTCAGGCTTTTTTGTGATTTCACATGAATTTTAGGCTTGCTTTTTCTATATCTGTGAAGAATGTCACTTGATAGGAATTGTCTTGAGTCTATAGTTAACATTGGGTAGTATGGACATTTTAACAATATTAATTTTTCTAATTCATGAATATGAGTTTTTTTGTTTTTTGTGTCCTCTTCAATTTCTTTTATCAGTGTTTTACAGTTTTTATTGTACAGATCTTTTACCTCTTTGGTTAAATTTATTCCTAGGCATTTTATATTTTTGTAGCTATGGTGAATGGGATTGCTTCCTTGATTTTCAGATTGTTCACTATTGGCATATGGAAACGCTACTGGTTTTTGTATGTTGATTTTGTATTCTGCCACTTTGCTGAAATAGTTAACCAGTTGTAACAGCTTTTTAGTGAAGTCTTTAGCTTATCCTAAATATAAGATCATGTCATTTGCAAACAGTGACAATTTGACTTCCTCTTTTCCAATGCTCTTTATTTCTTTTTTAATAGCTCTGTCTAGGACTCTTTCACCACTTTTCAATAAAAGAAAACGATGTGATTGACCACTTTTCAATAAAAGTGGTGAAAGTAAATATCCTTGTCTTGTTCTAGATCTTAGAGAAAGGATCTTAGGGGAAAGTGAATATCTTTGTCTTGTTCTATGTTAGAGAAAAGGCTTTCAACTTTTCCCTATTCAGTACGATGTTAACCGTGGGTTTATCGTATATGAACATTAATGTTTTAAGGTATGTTCTTTCTATACCTAATTTGTTGAGAGGGTTTTTTTTAATCACAAAGAGGAGTTGAATTTTATCAAATACTACTTCTGCGTCTATTGAGATAATCACAAGGTTTTGTTCTTTATTCTCTTGATGTGATGTATGTGATGTATCACATTTATTGATATTTGTAGGTTGAAGCATCCTTGCATCCCTGGGGGAAAATACCACCTGATCATGGTGTATAATCTTTTTTCTGTGCTGTTGGATTTTGTTTTCTAGGGTTTTTTTTTAAAAGAGTTTTGCATTTATGCTCATTAAAAATATTGGCCTATAGTTTTTTTTGTTGTGTCCTTGTCTGGTTTTGGTATCAGGGTAATGCTGGCCTTAAAAAAGATTTGGAAGCATTCTCTCCCCTTTGATTTTTCAAAATAGTTTGAGAATAATTGGCATTAGCTTATCTTTAAAAGTTAGGTAGGATTCATCTGTAAAGCCATATGGTCCTAGACTTTTCTTTGTTAGACTTTTTATTACTGATTCAATCACATTATTCATTATTGTTCTATTCAGGTTTCCTGTTTCTTCATGGTTCAATCTTGGTAGGTTATATGTGTCCAAGAATATATCTATTTTATAAGTTTTCAATTTGTTGATGTAAATTGTTCATAATGGTCTGTAATGACCTTTTGTATTTCTGTTTTATCAGTTGTAATATCTCCTTTTTATCTCTGATTCTATTCCATTGAGTTTTTCTTTTCATTAGTCTACCTAAAGATTTGTTGATTTTGTCTACCTTTTCAAAACAATATTTTCATTTGGTTGATCTTTCATATTTTTAGTCTCAATTTTATTTATTTTTGTTGTGATCTTTAGTATTTCTTCTTCCTGTAATTTTGGGTTTGATTTATTCTTGCTTTTCTAGTTTCATGAGGTGCATCATTATATTTGAAATCTTTCTACCTTTTTATATAGGCATTTATTTCTATAAACTACCCCTCTTAGTACTGCTGCTGCTTTTGATATATAACATAAATTTTGGTATGTTGTGTTTCTATTTTTATTTGTTTTAAGAAATTCTTAAATATTCTTTTTAATTTCGTTATTTACCCATTGGTTGTTCAGGAGCATGTTGTATTGGTGCATTTTCCAAAGTTCCTCTTGTTATTGATTTCTAGTTTTATTCCATTGTGGTCAAAAAAGATACTTGATGTGATTTTAATTTTTAAAAATGTGTTGAGACTTGTTTTGTGGCCTAACATATGGTCTATGCTGAAGAATGCTCCATGTGCTCATGAGAAGAATATATACACGTTCTCCAGCTGTTGAATGACATTTTCTGTAAAAGTTAGGTTTATTTGCTCTAGAGTGTAGTTTAAGTCCAATGTTCCTTTGCTGATTTTCTCTTTGGATGATCTGTTCGGTGCTGAAAGTAGGGTGTTGAAGTCTCCTATTATTGAAATGCAGTCTGTCTCTCCCTTTAGATCTAGTATTTGCTCTGGTGTTGGGTGGGTGTATACTCATAATTGTTATACCTTCTTGCTGAATTGATCCTTTTATCATTATATAATAATCTCCTTTGTCTCTTTTTAGGATTTCTAATGTGAAGTCTATTTTATCTGATAAAAGTACAACTACTGCTGCTTTCTTTTGCTTTCCATTTGTATGGAATATCTTCATGTGTCCTTACGGGTGAGGTGAGTCTTTTGTAGGCAGCATATAGCTGGGTCTTTAAAAAAATACCTCATTTAGCCACTATGTATCTTTTAACTGCAGAATTTAATCCATTTACATTCTAGGTTATTATTGACACGTATGAACTTACTCTTGCCATTGTTAAAGTGTTTTCTAGTTGCTTTGTAGAGCCTTTGGTCCCTTCTTCTTCTCTTGCTTTCTTCTCTTGTGGCTTCATGGCTCTCTGTAGTAGTATGTTTTGGTTCTTTTCCTTTTATCTTTTGTGTATCCATTACAGGTTTTGCTTTGTGACTACCCTGTGGCTTACATAAAACATGTTATACTTATAACAGGTTAATTTAAGCTGATAACAGTTAATTTTGGTTGCATACACAAACTTTTCACTCTAACTTCCTTTTCTCCCATGTTTGATGTTTTTGATGTCACACTTTACATCTTCTTATAATAACAAAAATAACATAAGTAATAATTTCATATACAATAATATAAATAAAAATAATAGGCCTACTCAGCCACTCAGGCCTTTGCTGCTCCTCCAGAGAGGGACTTGCAAACATTCAAAGAATTTGCATGCCATAGACAAGGCCAGGAAGAACTGTGACCGGATTCACAAGGCCTTCCCAGGCCTTACTGGGCATCCTTACCTGGTGCCCACAAACAGGGAGTACTTAGAACATATTTTCTGGTGCCTCTGATGACAGGCACTGCTTTGGACTGGAGTGGAAAGTAGGGCACCAAACCCATCCCTGGGGCCTTCACTTTCTAGCCAGATGCAGTCCCCCCCCCAACCAGGGGTCTTAAGAAACTTTCTGGAGACTCATCGGGCCAACCAGACCCATGCAACAAGGTACCCTTCTCAGGCCTTCACACCTGGCCCCATCTGAGCAGCCCCCAAAGCCTTCCTGACCACTGGCTCCCATCCAGGCTCTCCCCAGTTCCATGGTCCATTCAGATTTGTCCTGGCCTCCAGAGAGGGGTTTAGATAAATTTTGCAGGGTGCCTCCTATGACCAATCCCCACTCAGTCCACCAGGTGGAAGGGATGCCCACCCTGGCCTCCATGACTAGTTAGGGAATGTCTCAGCTAGCTAATTGGGAAAGAGAAACGTTTTAGGGAGTGCTGTATGCAACTGTGCCCCACGCAAAACTGTAGCCATGTCAGAGACCCTTCCTGGAGGCTCCCTGTCCAGCTTTGACTGATCTCTGTAGGAAATACAGACATTCCCATAGGGGAAGTAAGAAACTCTTGGAGACATTAGTTGTATTTTTGTTTTCATGTAGTTCAAAGAATTATTTTAATTTCTGTTGAGATTTCTTCTTGACCCTTATGTTATTTAGACGTGTATTTCTGAATATCCAAGTATTTTGAGATTGCCCAGCTATCATTCTATTACTGGTTTGTATAATAGTTTCCAGTGTTTTCGGAGAGCAGGTATGGCATGGTTTTTATACTTTGAAATGTGTTAAGGTGGGCTTTATGGCCCAGAATGTGGCCTATCTTGGTGAATGCTCCATGTGAGAGTGAAAAGAATATGTATTCTGCTGTCATTACACTAAGTAGGCTATAGATGTTAATTACTTCCAGTTGTTTGATGATGCTGTTTAGTTCTACCATATTTTATTGATTTTCTATCTATTGGATCTCTCCATTTCTGATAGAGGGTGTTGATGTTTACAACTATGATTGTGAATTCTTTTATTTATCCTTGCAGTTCTATCAGTTTTTTGCCTCACATATTTTACCACTCTTGTTAGGTGCACACACATTAAGAATTGTTACATTTTCTCAGATAATTCACTTTTTGTTATCAAGCAGTGCCTATATTCATCCAGAATTATCTTTTCTCTCCGAAGTCTACTCTGTCTGAAAACTAATATAGCTGCTTCAGCTTTCTTTTAATTATTGTTAACCTTGTATATCTTTTTCCATTTCCTACTTCAAAACTATATGTCTTTGCATTTAAAGTGAGTTTCTTGTAAACAATGTATAGTTGGGTCTTTTTTGTGGGGGATCAACTCAGATGAACTCAGTCTTTAATTGGTGTATGTAGAGCATTGACATTAAAGGTGATTACAGATGCAGTTAGATTGGTATTTATCATGTCTGTTATTATTCTCTATTTGTTGTCCTGTTTTTTTCTTCCTATTTTTGCCTTCCACTCTTTTCCTGCCTTTTGTGGTTTTAATTGAGCATTTTATATGGTTCCATTTTCTCTCCCATTTAAACATGTAAATTCTTCCTTTCTTTTTACTGTTAAAAAACCTTTCTATTGGTTGCCCTAGATTTTGGAATGTACATTTACCATTAGTACAAGTCTACTTTCAAGTAATACTATATTGCTTTATGAGTAGTGCAAGTATTTTATAATAACAAAATATTTCTAACTCTTCCCTCCTAGTTTATATCATTGCTATTATTCATTTAACTTATCAATAAATTATAAACATCTAATAACTATTGCTATCATTATTTTGAACAAATTATTTATTAGCTGCTATATCAATTGAAAATAAGAAAATGCAAAGTTTTTACTTCACATTCATATATTCATTTTTTATATTCTTCCTTTATGTAGATCCAAATGTCTTACTTTTCTCTTAAGAACTTCTTTTAACTTATTCCAACATTTCTTGCATGCAGGTCTACCAGCAACAAATTGCCTCAATTTTTGTTTTCTACAAAAGTCTCTGCCAGGCACAGTAGCTCACACCTGTAATCCCAGCACTTTGGGAGGCCAAGGCAGGTGGATCACTTGAGGTCAGGAGATCAAGACTGGCCTGGCCAACATGGTGAAAACCCACCTCTACTAAAAATACAAAAATTAGCTGGGCCTGGTGGTGTGTGCCTGTAATCCCAGCTACTCGGGAGGCTGAGGCAGAAGAATCACTTGAACCTGGGAGGCGGAGGTTGCAGTGAGCCAAGATCACGCCATTGCACTCTGCACCCCAGCCTGGGTGACAGAGTGAGACTCCATCTCAGAAAGAAAAAAAAAAGTGTTTAATTCTCCTTCACTTTTGAAGACTATTTTGTCTAAGGCATTCATGGTATCGCAGTATGATTCTAATTTGCATTCTCATGAATTTGCTATTTTCATTTACTGTTTCATCATGGACATTTTTCCATGTTACTACATGTAAGTCTCCCGCCCTGAAGAAATAAACCAAAACATAAATTAACGGTACTGTATAGATGTACCAGAATTTTTTAAACCTGGCTCCTCTGAATGGCTATGTTTTCTTTATTTTTTGTTATTAGAAGTAATGGTGAAATCAGTATTCTTATCACGCATGTATTTGCACCGATGTTCCCCACACCCATTTGTTGTCATTTGACTTTGTCCTGGTACGTGCACAGATAAATTTTCTTTAAACTTTATGCTATCAAGTTAATCAATCGTGTCCTTGATGGCTTTCGAGTTGTCTTTGTTGTATACATGCCTTTTTATTTTTATTTTAAGAGACAGCGGTCTATTTGTGTTGCCCAGGCTGGTCTCAAACTGCTAGCCTCAAGCGATCCTCTCGCCTCAGCCTCCCAAGTCGCTAGGATTACAGGCGTGAACAACCGTGACGGGCTCTGTTCTATGCTTTAAAGATCTTCTCTGTTCAGAAATTTTAGAATTAAAGTGTTTTCAACAAAGCTTTCATGGTTGCAGTTTTTCATCCCATACCTGAGGGCACGGTATTTTCTAAGTCCGCTTGCGCGGCTCTGGAAAGCCCGGCCTGGCAGGGCGCCCGGCCCGCAGGCTCGCGGTTACATTTTCCACGGGCCAGACTGGGAATCACGTAGGGAGAGTCTGTACTCTTCCCAGCAGTCAGCCTTCCCTTATGCTGCTGGGGACGCGTCGTGCTGACCCGGAGCTCGGAGAGGAGCCAGACGCGCTCCACCCACTCAGGTCTGAGAAGCGATCCGACATGGACTACTGCCATTTGCGCCGTTGTCGGGCTCCACCTGGCGGCCGATGTTACGTATTGCACTTGTTCTCTGGAGCTCCCGCGAGAGAGAGAAGTGGCCGCTGTGCACCAGCGTCGAGTTCCAGGATGTCCCTAGCGTTAGCAGGATTGTTCCGCCTGCTAGCAAAGCATTCGCTCCCCATCTGTTCGTGGGAGCTTGGACCTACAGCTTAAGGTCGGAGGAGGCTCTTGTCGCGCTCTTAGCCCTGGATGCTCTGTGGTGGGGCAACATGCGGGTCGACCAGCAACCCCCAGTGCCTGCCCCTCCAACACGAGACCTATCGGGGTCAACACGAACCATCTTGAAAGGGTGTTTGGAGGCCTCCCCGCGTGTGTCCCGATACCAGTACCTTCCATTTGACCCCATTTTCCTCAAGTTCTGCCTCAGAGGTGGGCACCGGCAGCTGTACTCAGAGGACCGCGGAGGGGGCTCCACCAGCCTGCACTAGGTCCCGCGTCGGTGCGCATCCTCAGACCTGCCTTTTCCGAGGCCCGCTTGGGAGGTGACAAGGGACTGGAGAAGAACCAGGTGCCCCGGGGAGGGCGTCTCAGATTCTGTCTGTGTGGAGCAGGACCCTGACGCCACGGGGAGGTTCCTTATGTTTTTGGCCTCTTCCCACATACCTTAACCTCTTCCCAAATACTGGGAACCCCAGGATTCATTTGGCTGCCGAAACTGTCCAAGCTCTAGGCTGCAGGCACCAACCTATTCCAGTATAGTCCTTTGCTCCAGGACACCTGGGCCGCTTTCCTGAGGGAAGAACATTCCCTTTATCAGGCAGAGACCCTGGCCACCCATGCCATCCACAAGCTGTTCCTGCCAGATCTGCCGGCACTCAGTCATCCTGGGCCATCAGGCTACTGAGTTCCGGGAGATGGTGAGTGCTCAGGGTGTGTGTGTGGCCGGCCAGAGGTGTCAGAGCCCAAAGTAGCTGGGAAGTAGCCAGAGGAAAGCCAAGTCCCCAGTCATCTGATGCTAACCTCGAACTTTTCATCCTTCTCCTTCCTCGTGCATTGCTCCTTCCAGGCATTCTTTAATCACAGCTGTGTTGGAGGCTGGGATTCCAGACCCAGCACTAACAGGGTACAGCCACAGCTGCAGCATCTCACCGTGACCTAGAGCCTGGCCCAGCTACCCAACTCAGGCAGTTCATCTAGCACAGCATCCCTGGGAGGTGGCCACTGTGAGATTCACTTCGGATTAGGAACTGAGGCTCCAAAGCCACAAGTGACTTGCCCAACATCAGGTAGAAGGATTAGAATTTAGGTCTGCCGGCCTCTAAAGCTGTCTCCCAAAGAATAGACCATTAACCAAGGAGACAGGTTATTTCCAGGTAATACAATGAAGTAATGTAACTACAAAGAAGGATGAGTAATCATGGTGGGGGCAGGATGGGGGGGCTCTCCCTGCATCTGTCTCTTCTCTTCCTCCTGCCCCCAGGCCCAGCCACTGAACATGCTCCTGGACCTTGACGTGCTGGGCTTCCATGTTGTCCTGTCTTGGCTCAGACACCACAGAAGGATCACTCCCCTTCCGGTGATAATGGAGTTCTTCATTACTAAAGTGTGCAGTCATGAAATCCATTACTAACCCTGAGACTCTCGGGCAAGAGGTGACAGGTCAGCTAAGTGGGAGAACAGTAGCAAAGTATAATGGAATAAGATGGGGAGGCTTCCAATCAGAGAAGGACAGTAAACACAGACACAAGCTGGGTGGCCTCCACACCTGTATTCAGTTCCCCAAGGTACTGTGGGGAAGAAGACATCTGCAACTCAGTAAAATCACATCTAAATCCTTAAAAAGGATTCTTCTCCTCTATACATTAGTCAAAACCCTCATGGGTACTTTATCCAGATATGAACATAAAATAGTATTTTCTGCACATCTAATTAGCAACAATTCAGGACCATTACAATAGTCCAGGTGGCGAGGACCAGTGAGATCCTTTGATGCTTCTCTTGAAAAATGTACATGGTGCCATTTTTTGCAGCATCATTTGGCAATATGTATTAAGAAGCTGTAAAATGTTTACAGCCTTTGACCTACAAATCGTACCTCTGGGAATTTTTAGGAATATAATATTCAGAGATGCTGACAAAGACCTGTGTACAGAATGTTCGTTGCAAACCAGCTCTGTTCTATGCTTTAAAGAGCCCATTATTCACAATAGCTGAAAATTGGAAGCAACTTCCATGACCAATGAATAGGAAAAAAGTAAAGAAAATTGTTGGGGTCGGGGGACTCTACAATAAAAATCATAATACTTTCCAAATGTTTTAGAAAGAATGTTGATGCTACGGGGGAAATGAGGGAGCTTCCTAATGAAGCATATTAAACTTAATAGATCTCAAAGGCGACTCTCGTTTTCACACTCAAATATGACTCTTCCTTTTCTTCTCTCAGTGAAAAGCACTGAGATGGGAAAAGTCCCCAACTTCTCCCAGTTTCCCACGTCAAAAATCTAGAATTTGTTCTTGATTCTTTCCTTTCTCTCTCACTGGACAGCCACTGCTACAATCAGTCCTGCTGGGGCTGTTTCAAATGAATACCTCTGGGCCATCCCCTTCCCTATCTTCACCCTCCCACTTCCTCGTCTTCCTCTCCTCTCTTTTCCTCCCTCCTTGTCCCTTATCTACTCCCTCCCCTCCTTGCCCTTCTCTTCATCTCCCTTACCCTATTACTCCCTCCTCTCCCTATCTGCGCCTGTCCCTCCCCTTCCCACCCCACCTTACCCTGCCATCACTTCATTCTCACTAGGTCTCCTCTCTCAGGGATGACCCCAATGTCCTTCTGCTACTTGAGGGGCTCCCAGCTTCCTTCTTTAGCCCAGAGCCCCTTCTGTGCCCACAGCCAGAGGCCTCCCATGGAATGTAAGTCCTTCACTCACTCCCTGTTGGACTCCCCACAAGTGGATTCCTTGCTACTTAGAGCAAAACACAAAGCTCTTCCTGTGGAACTGAGCTTCGACTGGTGGGGGACATAAGAGGCAGCCACTGGCCCAACCAGCCAAGGCCTAAAGCTCGCAGAAGAGAAATTCTCATTAGCAGAATTTTCAGTCGTTGGAGCTGAGCTGCAGGATGTTTGAGTGTGGAGACCTAGCACAAAATGTACCAATGGGGGGCTGGTCCGAGTCTTCAGTCCCCTACCATGCTCCCTACCTCTATACTGTGTGCTCCTGTCACTCTAGCTTCCTTCTGCATGGAATGCCTCCTTTCTATTTTCTGTGGTCACACCTCTGCAGTGAGCCCCATGAGACCCACCAACTTCAGAAGCTGCCCCTGACACCTCTAGCAGTAGACAAGTGTGTCCTGTGCTGTCCATGCCCTTCCTTTGTACCTATAAGCTGGTGACTCTGTTCTATAAATAGTTAGGTCCCTGTCTCATCTTCCCAGCCGGACTGTGAGGTATTCATGGTGGGATCTATGTCTGATCCATCTCAGGGAGTCCCGTGGAGCTTGACCTAATGCCCGGCATGTGGGAATCCCAGAGAGGAAACAGCATGTGCAAAGGCTGGAGACCTGATGGCACCTGTGGCAATACGGAAGAGTCCATGTGTGTAAAGGGCAACAAAATAGAGCAGTATTAGATAAAATAAATATTCTTGAGTGCATACTGATATAAATAAATGATTAAATAAGTTAATGAATGAGGGAAAGGAGATAAATTTCCCATGCAGGATTTCAAATGAATTATGTTATATATTCCATCCCAAAGGAGAGCGAGAATAACTCCCCACTCCTTATGTGTGGGCTGCACACAGTGACTTATTCTCCAAAGAGGACGGTATGGAAGAGGGGGAAAAAGAGAAACTGCAGTGGAGAATCCTGATGAGCACTACCTCTGCCAGATCTTTAGTGATGTCAGTCATCCCCTTTTTATATTCATAATTTTCTCTTTTTTCCCAATCAATCCAGCTGGAGATTTGTCGTTTTCATTGATCTTTCCCAAAGAACACGTTTTTGGATTCATTGATTTTTTTTCCTTTTTTTATTTCATTGATTCCCATTTTGATCTTTATTATTCCCTTTCTTTTGGTTACTTTAGATTTAATTTGCTCTTCCTCATATATATTTTGAGACAGAATCTTGCTCTGTTGCCCAGGCTGGAGTGCAGTGGCACAATCTCGGCTCACTGCAACCACCACCTCCTGGGTTCAAGTGACTCTCCTGCCTCAGCCTCCCAAGTAGCTGGGATTACAGGTGCCAGCCACCATACCCAGCTAATTTTTGTATTTTTAGTAGAGATGGAGTTTCACCATGTTGGGTAGGCTGGTCTCGAACTCCCAACCTCAGGTGATCTGTCTACCTCGACCTTCCCCAAGTGTTAGGATTACAGGCGTGAGCCACTGCGCCTGGGCGATATTCTTCAATTAGAAACTGAGGTTGCTGATCTGAGACCCTTATTCTTTTCTAATACAGTAATATCATAAATTTCCCTTCAGGTACTGCTTCAGTGACAACCGACAAATTCTTTGTTGTTTTTCTATTTCCAATAACTTCAAATAACTTTCTAATATTCCTTTAGATTTCTTCTTTGTCCTATGAGTTATTTAGAAGTGAGTTAATTTCCAAATATTTGGGGATATTTAAAGGATCTTTCTGTTACTGGTTTTTAATTTTATTCCATTGTGGCCTGAGAACATACTTTGTAGTTGAATACTTTTTTATTTATTGAGGTTTTTAATGGGCTATAATGTGGTCTATCTCCATAAATCTTCCGTGCACAGTTGAGAAAATGTGTATTTTGCTTTTATAGGGTGGAGTATTCTATAAATATAAATCAGGTCAAGTTGGTTGATGGTGTTGTTCAAGTCCAATACATTCTTGCTGATTTATTGCCTATTTATTCTATGAAGTGTTGAGAGTGGGATTAAAATCTCTGATGGTTATCTCTATCTCTACTTATTGTTTTATTACTTTTCTTCATACATTTTGAAGCTTTTTTTGTTAGGTACAAAAAGACGTAAGTTTGTTATGTCTTCTTCATTAACTAACCACATTATCAGTAAGAAATAATCTCTTTAATCCCTGGTAATAGCCTTTGCTCTGAAGTCCATTTTGGCATTCGTATAGCCACCTCAGCTTTCTTTTGACTAGTCTTGGCATGGTATATCTTTTTCCATCCTCTTACATCTAACCTATTTGCATCTTTATATTTAAACTACATTTCTTGGCCAGGTGTGGTGGCTCACACCTGTAATCCCAGTACTTTGGGAGGCCAAGGCAGGTGGATCACCTGATTTCAGGAGTTTGAGACCAGCCTGGCCAAGATGGTGAAACTCCGTCTCTACTAAAAATACAAAAATTTGCTGGGTGTGGTGGCAGGGGCCTGTATTCCTAGCTATTTGGGAGGCTGAGGCAGGAGAATCGCTTGAACCCGGGAGGCAGAGGTTGCAGTGAGATCGCACTGTTCCACTCCATTGCACTCCAGCCTGGGCAACAAGAACAAAACTCCATCTCCAAAAATAAGTAAATAAATAAAGTACATTTCTTGTAAGCAAAATACAACCAGCTTTTAAAAAAATCCAATCTGACAACCTGTCTTCTAAATCAATTTAAATGTAATGTAATTCCTAATATGGTTGAGTCTCTTATCTTGCTATTGTTTTCTACTCATCACATCTGTCCTTTATTCTCTTTTACATCTTTTTCTGTCTTCTTTTGGATTTACCCAATATATTTTTATGATTCCATTTGATCTCCTTTGTTAGTTTAATAGCTGTAATCTTTTGGTTTGTTATCTTAGTGGTGGCTCCAGGGTTTACAGTGTACACCTTTAACTGATCACGGCTGACCTTCAGGTGACAGTAGATCACATCATGTACAGTTTAAGAATCTGAGAATAGTAAACTTCCCCCCTTTTAGTCTTTAAGCTCTTATTGTCATCCATTTTACTTTTACATATATTATAAACTGCATATTACTTTATTTCCTAAACAATTATCTTTTAGAGAAGTTTAAATAATATAAAGTATATATCCATGTTGTTACTATTTCTGGTATAGATACACAATGTTACTATTTCTGGTGTAGACCATTTCTTTGTGTGGATCCAGATTTCCATCTGGTATTGCTACGGGATCCTTGAGGTATTACTTCATCAGCCAAAAGCCTCTATGGCCAGTGGAGCCTTTTCCAGAGTTTTGCTCTGGATCTCTGGTCTTGTTCCACCCACTCGGCCTGGCAGGCTGTGCTCAGTTCCCACTATGAGCCTGGATCGCTTGTCTGCCAAGGGTAAGCCAGGCACGGAGGAGCAAGGGGTGTGTGAGCAAGCATGGGGTCCGGCCACTGCACACAGCCAGGCATGCCGGCTGAGGGGGGATAGGCGATGGGCAGGCAGCTTCAGGCACTGGCACGGGTGCCAGCTCCATGCAAGGCTGCAGCTAGACCAGGCATACCATAAGCAGCTTCCACGGCTGACACCAGGGAATGTGGTGGTGCCCAGAACCCTGGAGATGCCAGGAACCCACAGAGCCCTAAAGAGGGTGTCACAGCCCTGGCTCGGAGTTCCTAGGTCTGGGCTCCCTGAAGAGCCACAGCTCTTCTCTTCTCTCTTCTCATTGCTTGCAATGTGACAAACAAGGGGCATGTTTCAGCGCTGTTTGTGTTATAGCTATTTTAGCTCCGCCATTCAGCAGGTCTCCAGTTCTTGTCCTGAGACCAGGAAGAATGATATATGCAGACAAGTGGAAGGTGAACAAGATGAAGAGGAGCTTTACCGAGAGATAAGACAGCTCAGAGGAGACCCGCAGTGGGTAGCTCCTCTCCATAGCCAGGGTGTCCTGTTGAGTACTGAGCTCTCAGCAGAGAGGGCAGCTCCTCTCTGCAGGCAGGTCATCCCGTTGTCTCTTCAGCTCTCAGCACAGAGGGTATCTCCTCCCTGAAGACTGGCGGCCCACCCCCTAGGCTTCAGCCCCACCCCAGCTTGCAGGTGGGGCTTCACTGGAAACCTGCTCCCTTCCACCCAAGAGCCTGTTTGCCTCCTGTCATTGTTCATGGCACCCACGTTATTCATGCCAAGGAGTACCTGCAGGCCAGTGCCAAGCTGTCCTCAGCCCCACTTCAGCCTCCTTCCCATGCTTGTCAGCCTCCACAGTCCAAAGGGGGCCAAGGGGCTGGCATGTCAGCACTACTCCAAGCATGCACACATGCAGCTGGGATGCGAAAGTGCTGAGAGAGAGACAGTGCCCCAGGTTGTGAACTGTGACAGGAGCAGATGCTAACAGTAAGGAGAACACGGACAGTGGGAGCAGGCACTTCCTAGCCTGCAGGGAAAGGGGTGCCTTCCTGGGCCCCCAAGAGTATGGAGATTCCTGGGTCCACAGCTGCAGCTTGGGTGGCTGCAGCTGCACTTGGGAGGGCGGGGCTCCTGCCTACTCTTGGCTCCCAAGAGCACAGGAGTGCCCTGGTAGCAGCCACAGCTTGGGTGGCTGCAGTTGCACCTGGGAAGCTCCCACTCTACCAACTTTCTGGCTCCATAAAGCATGCAGCCCTAGCCATACCACTGGTCTGCATTTTCCCCTTAGTGGCAGCAGGCAAGGTGCGGGTGGCTGGTGGCCTCAGCCAACCCCGCGCAAACAAACCCAATGCTCCTGGGGCCACCCCACAAGTCCTGGCTGCACTATCAGCTCACAGACTCCTGAGACGCAGCACACAGCGAGATTGAAGGCACGGCAGAGGTTCCGGGCCTGCAGTGGGTCCTTCCCAGTTGTGCAAGGGTCGGGGTGGTGCAGTCAGCTGCCTCAGGGATGTAGGGCACAGGGGACCCACCACTACCACTGCTGCTCCCACAGCCACTTCTGCCACCACCACTTGTGCCTCCATACTGCAGCTGGCGTGATAACAGTGGCTGCTCCAGATGGCACACCGCTGCCATTAGTATCGTTTTCTTTATGCCTGAAGGACATCCCTTAACTTTTCTTATAGTGCAGGTCTGCAGGTAGTAAAGTCGTTCAGCTTTTTCGAGTCTGAAAACTTCTTTATTTCTTCATCTATTATTCTCTTTTTGATGACCGTTAGTTAAACCAATCCATTGAACTTTCCATTTCAATTATGATACTTTTCATTTCGTTTCTACTTGGTACTTTCCCCAATCTATTTGGTTATTTTCATGCTCAAGTTATTTCAACTCCTTTATTTCTTTAAGTATAAAACGCACTTTGTACTGTCTTTGGTAACTTGACTGTCTTAAGTTTTTGCAGGCCTGCTCTTTCTGTCCATTGTTTCTGCTGGCTCTTGCCGATTTTACATTTGTGATTTTTTATTGTGAACTTATATTCCTTGAAAGTATCTCAGAGTTTCTCCAAAGACAATCCATTTTGCATCTGTCAGTCACCTAGAAGGCACCAAAAAGCTGATATTGCTTTAAATTTGAAGCTTGAGACATTTTAGACCACCCAGGTTGTGTGAACAAACCAGTTAAAGGGCTATATATATATATATATATATATATATATATATATATATACACACATACACACACATAAAACTCTCAGGGGAGATGTTTTCTCTCAGGATACCCAATGTTCCTCACTGTTCCTAGGGAAGCAGGGGTCAAGGGAAGCATACAGGGGGAGGCGGACAGGTTTATTCATAGTTCACCCTTACACTAAGTCTGTCCTTTTGGATCTCACTTTATGATGTCTCCTCTTAGCCCCTCCCACTTGGGCAGGCCCTCAGCTTTGTCTGCTGTTCTGCTGCCCCTTTTCCACCTCACGCTGTGAAAAACAGCAAAGTTTAGTTTGACAGGCAAATATCTGAAGGGTGAAAAGTGGCATCAGTGCCTTAGTTACTTCTTTGGGTTTCACTTCCATTTTAAAACTTTTTTAGCTTTTTGGAATTCTTATTTTGTAGCTCATTGACACATTTTTAAGAGGTTCTTGATATGTATTCCAGAAGCTTTAGTTGTTTCCAGCTGGTCCTTATCACCCCTACTGTTGGAAATAAAATTCTTTCAACTTGTTCTTTAGCAATGTACAGGCTCCATAGAGCTCTCGCTGATCCTGAGGCAACAGGGTAAGAACGTCACTTAGGAATCAGGCTGGCCTGAGATCAAGTCTCAGATCCACCAGCAGTGTGACATCAGTGCCTCGCTTTCTTTATAGGGTTGGTGATATGGTTTGGCTCTGAGTCCCCAGCCAAATGTCATGTCGAATTGTAATTTCCAATTACAATTGGAAATTGAATCTTACAATTGGAAATTGATTATTGAATCATAGGTGTGGACATCCCCCTTGCTGTTCTTGTGATAGGGCTCTCATGAGATCTGGCTGTTTAATACTGTATATTAACTTCCCCTGTGCTCCTGCTGTCCATACGAAGATATGCTTCCTTCCCTTTCACCTTCTACCATGATTGTAAGTTTCCTGAGGCCTCCTCAGCCATGCTTCCTGTACAGCTTGTGGAACCATGAGCCAATTAAACCTTTTTTTCTTTATAAATTACCCAGTCTCAGGTACTTCCTTATAGCAATGTGAGAACAAACTAATACAGAAAATCGGTACCAGAGAAGTAGGGCATTGTTACAAAGATACCCGAAACTGTGGAAGCGACTTTGGACTTAGGTAATAGGCAGAGGTTGGAACAGTTTGGAAGGCTTATAAGAAGACATGAAGATGACGGCTGGGCATGGTAGCTCATGCCTGCAATCCCAGCACTTTGGGAGGGTGAAGCAGGTGGATCATTTGATGTCAGGGTTTCAAAGCCAGCCAGACCAACATGGTGAAACTCTGTCTCTACTAAAAATACAAAAAAAAATTAGGCGGGCATCATGGCGCATGCCTGTAATCCCAGCTACTCAGGAAGCTGAGGTAGGAGGATCATTTGAACCCAGGAGGCAGAGGTTGCAGTGAGCCAAGATTGTGCCACCACATTCCAGCTTGGATAACAGAGTGAGACTCCATCTAAAAAAAACAAAAACAAAAACAAAAATGAAAACAAAACAAAAAAACAGAAGACAGGAAGAAAAGTTTGGAACTTCCTAGAGACTTGCTGAATGGTTGTGACTGAAATGCTCATATAGTGATACGGACAGTGAAATCCAGGCTGACGTGGTCTCAGATGGAGGTGAGGAACTTATTGGGAACTGGAGTTTGCAGTCACTCTTGCTATGTTTTAGCAAGGAGACTGGTGGCATTGTGCTCCTACTCTAGGGATCTGTGGAACTTCAAACTTTAGATGATTTAGGGCATCTGGCAGAAGAAATTTCTAAATTTCTAAACAGCAAAGCATTCAAGATATAACTTGGCTGCTTCTAACAGCATATGCTCATATACATTCACAAAGAGATGGTCTGAAATTGGAACTTATATTTAAAAGGGAAGCAGAGCATAAAAGATTGGAAAATTTGCAGCCTGACCATGTGGTAGAAAAGAAAAACCAAATTTCTGGTAAGACATTCAACTCAGCTGCAGGAATTTGCATAAGTAAAGAGGAGCAGAATGTGAATAGCCAAGATAATGGGGAAAATGCCTCCAGGGCATTTCAGAGATCTTCACAGTAGCCCTTCCCATCACAGGCCTGAAAGATTAGGAGGGAAAAATGGTTTCATGGCCTAGGCCCAGGACCCCACTGTTCTGTACAACCTCGGGACATGTCACCCTGAATCCCAGCTGCTTCAGCTCCAGCTGTGGCTAAAAGGGCCCCAGATACATCTCAGGCCACTGCATCAGAGGGTGCAGCCATAAGAAGCCTTTGTGGCTTCCATGTGGTTTTAAGCTTACAGGTGCAAGGAAGGCAAGAGTTGAGGCTTGGGAGTTTCCACCTAGATTTTAAACGTTGTATGATAATGCCTGGATGTCCAGGAGGAAGTCTGCTGTAGGGTCAGAGCCCTCATGGAGAGCCTTTACTAAAGCAGTCTGGAGGTGAAATGTGGGTTTGGAGGCCCCACTCAATGTCCGCACTGGGGCACTGCCTAGTGGAGCTGTGAGAAGAGGGCCACTGTCCTGCAGGCCAGAGAATGGTAGATCCATTGAAAGCTTTCACTGTGTGCCTGAAAAAGCCACAGGCACTCAATGCCAGCCCATGGAAGCAGTCACTGGGGAAGTACCCTGCAGAGCCATGGGGCAGAGCTGCCCAAGGCCTTGGGACCCCACCCCTTGCATCAGTTTGGCCTGGATGCACACCATGAGCAGTAATGGGAAAATTCTTATTGAAAAAGGCAAGAACAAATCAGCCCAGTGAGATGAATTACATGTTGCACTCCTTCCTGGGATGGAAGAATTGAACAATGATAGGATCTTCTACATTTCGGTTTTTACTTTTACTGACTCATGGGCAGTGGCCAATGGCCTGGCCATGTGACCAGGCAGAGGGACAATGGCAAACTGGGCTGTGAAAGGATGTCCACATGGAGCACAGCACTGCAGGAATTTAAAGGGCACATTAAAGTAGGTCATGTCAATGCCCACCTGAAGAACCCCTCCCAGGTTCAGTGATCAGATCTGGTAGGTGGATATCCTGGTGACCTTGAGGTGGCCACCTGGGCTTAACAAAGGAGTGGACAAAGGGGAGCTGCAGCCGTGCAGGGATGGGCTGCTCAGCAACACGTCCCTCCTCCACCCTCAGAAGCACCAAATGCCAACAAGAACCGTCCTATCTGACAGCAGGAAGACAGAGACTGCAGGTGGCTATGGGGCAGATTCCCAGTGGGAAGGCACCACTCATAGCTAACAAGTAGATTATACCAGACTGAAGCCAGTATCCCTGGGAGGCTATAATGGGTCCTGACACGTTCTCTGGACTGGGCTTTGCATAGTCATTAGATTCAAATGCCAAAAATACTATAAAAGAACTGGAACAGATGATAAGACATCAACTTGGACCACCAAGTTTTATTTCTTCAGGCCAAAGAACACATTTATGGCCCACAGTGTCCTATAATGGACATACCATGTTGCATATTGTCTTCATCTCCTAGGGCTGCCATAAAAAAGTGCCACAAACCATATGGCTGACTTACAAAACAAAATGCACTGTCTCACAGTTCTGGAGACTAGAAGTCTGAGATCAAGTTCTTGGCAGGGCTGGATCCTTCTGAGGGCTGTGAGGAAGAATCTAATCCACACTTCTCTCCTAGCTTCTGGTGGTTTGCTGGCAATCTTTGGCATCCCTGGGCTTGTAGAATTCTGCCTTCATCTTCATATGGCATATCCCCTGTGTTATCTCTGTGCACAAATTTCCCTTTTTTATAAAGACACAAATCATATTGGATTAGGGGGCCCACCCTATTACAGCATGACCTCATCTTAACTAATTACATTAACAACAATCCCATTTTCAAAAAAGGTCATGTTCTTAGGTACTGGGGGTTCTGAGTTCAGCATATGAAATTTTTATTTAGGGTAACATATATCCCTTTTTTCAGTTTTTATTGTGTTAAAACACACATAAAATTTACCATCTTAACCATTTTAAGTGTACAATTCAGTGGTATTAAATACATTGATAATGTTGTAGAAGTATCCCCACAACCCATCTGCAAAACTCTCTTCATCTTGTAAAACTGAAATGATATTTATTAAAACCTAACCCCTACCCCCTCTTCCCAGCCTCTGGCAACCACCATTCTACCTTCTGTCTATGAAGTTGAATATTCTAGGCCCCTCATTTAAATGGAATCATGCAGTATTTGTTTTTGTGACAGGCTTATTTCACCTAGCATAATGTACTCAAGGTGCATCCATGTTATAGCATATGTCTATATGCTATATAGACATTTTCTTCCTTTTGGAAGCTGAATAATATTCCACTGTATGTATGTATATGTCAGATTTTGTTTTTCCATTCATCCCTCAATGAATGCTTAGATTATTTCCCTTTTGGCTATTGTGTCTAATGCTGCTATGAACACGGGTGTACAGATATCTCTTTGAGACCCTGCTTTCAATTATTTTGGTATTCCACCCAGAAGTGGAAATGCTGGATCATAGGGTAATTCTGTTTCTAATTTCTTGAGGAATCACCATATTGTTTTCCATACTAGATGTACGGTTTTATATTCCCACCAACAGGAATATAAGCATTCCAAACATGAATTTTGTGGGAACATATTTCAAACCATAGCAGTCACCAAAAGCTCAAGCAACAAAACAAAAAATAGATCAGTTCAATTTCATTAAAAAGTTCTGTGTTTCAAAGTTGACATGGTTTGGCTGTGTCCCCACCCAAATCTCATCTTGAGTTGTAACTCCCAGAATTCTCATGTGTTGTGGGAGGAACCCAGTGGAAGGTGACTGAATTATGGGGGCAGGTCTTTCTTGTGCTGTTCTCATGATAGTGAATGAGTCTCACGAGATCTGATGGTTTTAAAAATGAGAGTTTCCCTGCACAAGCTCTCACTTTGCCTGCTGCCATCCATGTAAGACGTGACTTGCTCCTCCTTGCCTTTCATCTTTCGCCATGATTGTGTGGTCTCCCCAGCCACATGGAACTGTGAGTCCAATAAACCTCCTTCTTTTGTAAATTGACCAGTCTCAGGTATGTCTTTATCAGCAGCATGAAAACAGACTAATACAAAGGTTACATAAGAAAATAAGGACAACCACAGAATGGGACAAAAACTTATAAGTCCTATATCTGATAAGGAACACATGTTCCAGATGATATAACCACTCTTACAACTCAATAAAAAGACAACGCAATTTAAAAATGGGCAAAAGATGAATAGACATTTCTTCAAAAACATGAAAAATGGCCAATAAGCATGTGAGAAGGTGCTCAATAACATTCATTATTAGGGAAATGCAAATCAAAACACAATGATACACCACGTCACCCCAATGAGATAACTAAATTCAAAAGACAAACAATAAGGAGTGTCAGCAAGAACAGGAAACTGGATAAGAACCTTCATTCAATGCTGAGGGAATGTAAAACCTTGTCTGTTTTGGAAAACATTTTGGTAGTTTCTCAAAAATTAAAACAGAGTTATCATATGATCCAGTAATTACACTCCAAGGTATATACTTAAAAGAAATGAAACCACACAAAAACGTATACCTGAATGTTCACAGCAGCATTATTCATCATAGCCAAAGTGGAAACAAGACCACTCAAGCCAGCCCTGCCTCGGAACCTGACAAAGTTAAATGGAAGCCTACACAGCTGAGCCGCATTTCCATGGGAGACATTTTGGTCATTCCAGGTGATGATGAACTACACCAATTGTTAGTGGCTGACAAGAACCTCAGGAATGTGCCAGCATCTTTTGACTTTTATTTTGGGGGGCTGCATCTACTACCACAACATGCAATATGGGTAACACTGGCATGGCTGGTTAGATTTGATTACCTCATGCAAATAAGTCATGTGGTAATACTGATATTGATGATCAAATGTATTGGGAGATTGAGTTAAAGTCTCCTCAGGATGTAATACCAACGGAAAATGAGTCTTTAGAAGAACTATATTTAGTTAACCATCACCTAATTTCCAGATAAATAGTTCTGCACAGGTCATATAAGATACAAAGAGCAGTAGATCAAGGGGGAGGATGATCTTGGGGACTCCTGAAATATACTGTCAATAACCCAGATATCCTCCAGTAAATACATGGATATACAAAGTGTGGTATACATACATATGTACATACAGTGGAACATTATTCAGCCATAAACAGGAATGAAATACTGATACAGGCCACACAATGAATGAACCTCAATAAACCGTAGAATCCTGCTAAGTGAAAGAAGCCAGTCAGAAAAGACCAGATATTGGATGACACATTTATATAAAATGTCCAGAATAGGCAAATCTAGAGACAGAAAGCAGATTCATGGTTGTCAGGGGTTGAGGGAAGGAGGAAATGAGGAGTGATTAAGTGAATTAATGCATGTTAACACCTTAAACTTTGGGCAACTGCCCAATCACACAGACAGTGCAGTCTCATTCATGGGCTACATGACAAAACAAAGAGAAAAGCCTGGGTAGAAATACCAACATGTATGTCACGAAAAATATAATACCTAAATAAACAGAGAAACTATGTTCCTTAATGAGCAAATTCAATATTATAAGGTTGCCAATTCTCCTCCCATAGTTTCTCAAAAGTTGCAATGTAATGCAATTTTAATCTAAATGGCATGGTTATCTAGACAAGAAAAAAATTGATTGTAAAATTTATATGAAATAATAAAGGTGTGAGAATTGCAAGGAAAATTTTCAAATGGAAAATTATTACAGGAGAAAGGAGTGTGGAGACCTTGCTCTGTATGGTAGAAGTCAAAGACAGCTACCATCAATTCTTTCCCTTCCTCAACACACATTGCTTCTCAAGAGGTGAGGAATAGCTCCCTTCCCCTTGAATCTGGCTGCCTTGCAACTTGCTTGATCCATAGAAAATGCCATAAATTCCATTCTGGGAATTCTACTATTGGATTTTTTTTTTTTTGAGATGGAGTCTCCCTCTATTGCCAGTCTTGAGTGCAGTGGTGCAATCTCAGCTCACTGCAACCTCCGCCTCCCAGGTTCTAGAGATTCTCCTGTCTCAGCCTCCCGAGTAGTTGGGACTACCGGTTCACACCACCATGCCCAGCTAATTTTTGTATTTTTTTTTTTATTGGAGACGGGTTTCACTATGTTGGCCAGGATGGTCTCGATCTCATGACCTTGTGATCTGCCTGCCTTGGCCTCCCAAAGTGCTGGGATTACATGCATGAGCCATCGTGCCTGGCCCGATTTTTTTTTTTTTTTTTTTTTTTTTTAAGAAACTGAAGCCTCTACTTCGGTCTCTTGGTAGCCTTCCTCCTGGGAAGCTCTTTCTTGAATCTAGTCACCATTCCATTCCACCACGCCACATATGTCTTCTCCAGGCAACAGCCAACATCTATTGTCAGCCATGTAAGTGAGTTTCAGATGACTGTGGCCCCGGCTAATGTTTGACTGTAGCACATGTGAGAGGCCCCATGCAGAACCACCTAGAAACATGGAGAGCAGTCACCCTGCAGAACCATGAGTAAGTTAAGCTTAGGGGTGGTTAATTACGCAGAAATAAGTAAACAGAGCACTCCACCAGGTATTAAAGATTATTACAAAGATTATGTAATTAAAACAATACAGAACAGACCAGGGTTGACTACAAGATCAATGGGACAGAATAAAGTTACATATCCAATGCCTGCTGCTGACCACAGGGATTTGTCACAGATCTCATCACTTAGAAACCCTACAGTGGTTTCCCTGGTCACCTTCCAGTCACCACTACACCTTGGCTCCTTTTAGCACTCCTCCCTAGCTTATCACTATATGAAATTGCTTTATCTCTTTGTATTGTCTGTCACCTGCCACCATAATGTGAATTTCTAGACCTCCATAGCATGCAAAGCTCTAGAACAGTTCTTTGAACACAGAAGGTGCTTGACAAATATTTTCTGAAAGAAAAAGAAGATACTTCAATACCTCAGTTTACTAAGGACGTGGGGCTACCATATGGCTGCCTGAACAAATACAGCTTGACATTCACTTTCTTGCTACTGATTGAAGTGTATTAACTTGTGTAATCACACAACTACCCTATGGGGTAGGTGCCCTTATTTCTCCATTTGGCAGAGAGGGACTAAGTATCTTAACCAAGGTCACACGGCTTTCAAGTGCCAGAGCCACGACTCAGATCTACACAGGTCTGGCTCCAGAGCCCCCAATCTAACCTCTTAACCTCTCTGCTTTACTGGGCTAAACCTTCACCACCTATCATATGGAAAAAGAAATTCAATAGAAAGTTATATGGAAAAAATACAACCCTGTGTTAATATTAGAAAATCCATAGTAACATGTAGAATGAGGAAGCTTCCTCAAGCCCAACTATACAGGTCAGATCGGTTGAAAAAATAAAACTAACAAATTTTTACATGTCAAAATATGCAATATTTGAAAATCCAAGGCTAATATCTTTAAATAGGCAAAGATTTATTAATACCCCTTGACACACAAACAGGAAGTGAGAAAATGGGCAACTGACACAAATCGATAATTAACTGTGAGGACATAGGTGGTGGAGTCTCTCCTAATCCTCTATTCTTGGAGATCTGAATGCCTGCCATTCCCGTATGGGAAGAACAGAGACGGTCATGGAAAACAGCATTTAATCTAGAAAGGACCACAATGAGGTCAAAGGGCGGTCTCAGGGCAGTCTTAAGAGCTCCCCATCCCCAAAGAACTGGCAAGGACTCTCCAGGTGCTCGTATGCGACTGCTGCCCAACTCCCATCACGAACTCAGAAGACCTGTCATTTTCTGAAATTTTCATGACTTCTAAGACACTAGTTATTGGGGAAAACTTCAAATTATTTAAATAATGAGAGGCGAAAAACATTGCTAAACTCATGAATACTCTGTATTTAAAACCTCCACTGGCGATCAGGGCACATAGAATCTCTACTACTGATCCCTGACGCTGGCCATCCCCCAACCCGTCGGCCCACGGACCCCAGCCCTGACCCCACCTCCTCCCAGCATCTTACACAAGGATTCTCACCACACTCCCCAGAGACTCGCCTGCCCAGGGCCCCTCTCTAACCCCATATAGCTCAGGTCTCTGATCCAGAGACTGCATCACCGACCTCTCCGACTACCTATTTCCAGATTAGAGTCCCTGATCCCAGAGGCATTGTCTAAAATAACTAGCTCTTACAACTACGTCCACTTCAGGAACCGCCCTGTGATGTCAGAACTTTGAGGCCGCCCGGCCAGGGCTGCACATGCTCAGTGAGGTCGGCGCCCGCCAGTAACAAACATGGCTCCCTGAAGCCGCTCAGGCTCAAGAGCAACAAGGAGGTCTGCACTTAATCGCTCCTCTCCGGGGGCGGCCATACCGAGGAGGCGTCTCTTCCGTGCAGGCAGGCTCTCCTGGGGACCTCAGAGATTCTCTCCAGCGGCAGCGGAAAACGGGCAATGGGTGGATTCGGGTCCAGATTCTGGCAGGAGGGAGTTTGGGATCGAGATCTGGAAAAAAGCACTAGACTGGAAGAGGACGCGATGGAGTCGGAGCCGCTGGCGGGGACAAAAACCAGAGGCCGGGGAAGGCGCCGGTGGGAGGCAAGGCGCGCATAGACTTTACCTGCGCACGCGTCGCAGCCATCTCCGCCCACAGTGGTGGCCACCGCCACTGGTGCTGAAGTGTCGGCGTGTGCCGGGCGCTCCGCTGGGACCCGGGTTGCTGGCCCTGAGTCTCAGCTTTCTCATCTGTACGGTTGGGACAAGTACAGTAACCCTCGCCCGTCAAGACGGGCCAGGGCTGTGGCGAGGGTCCACGCCTTAGAGCAGGCACCTATCTTGTGCAGGGCCCTGAGATGGGGTCTGACTCAGTTCCTGCGGGGAACTTCACCAGTGACCCAGTCAGTGCCCTTCAGTTAAAGACTACCAGGGGCACACTTGTAATTAAATATAATTACATTGCAGCAAGGAATGGGGTACTATGGGTCATCTCAGTGGGAGGAGTTAGAGAGAAACTATTATACGATTTGGGCTTTAATTGGTTGATTTCGGACAGGATCTCAGAAAGTGAAGACTTTAGATTGGATGCTGTCAGAAAGCAGGAGCAATATGATTATTAAGTATTTTGTGGGTGACATCAAGACCTTGTTTTTTATCTGCACTTAGACAACATTATAAAGTGCCCTTGTTTTTGTTTGCACTTATCACGGTCTCAGATTAACCTTCTGAAGTTGATATTCTGTGAGATTGTTTATGTCCAACAGGAAAACAAAATGTCCTGGCCATGAGCATCAGACCAGCGTGTAATCACATTAAGGCCTGTGACCCAAATATTGACAGAATTGAAGTTAGAAATAGTTCTACAGTAACAGAGTCTTCAATACTCCATTTAAAATAATGCATAGAAGCTGGACATGGTGGCTCATGCCTTTAATCTCAGCTACCTGGGGAGGCTGCGGCAGGTGGATTGCTTGAGGTCAGGAGTTTGAGACCAGCCTGGGCCTTTTGGCCTGTCTCGGCTTTTAACATACCTTCCTCACTCAGCTTAATCATTTCTCACTTTAGATTTATAATAAGAGATGTGTGACTCTTACTTTCACTTGAACACATAGAGGCCTTTATAGAGTTATTAATTGGCCTAATTTCAATATTGCTGTGTCTCAGAAAACAGACCTGAGGAGAGGGTGAGATGGAGGAAGGGCAGATCGATGGAACCATTCGAATACACATATGTATCAATTAAGCTCATTGTCTTTTGGAGCATGGCTTGTGATGCCCCAAAACAATGACAATAGTAATATCAACGATCACTGATAACAGATCACCATAACAGATATAATAATAACAAAACATTTGAAATATTGCAAGAATTACAAAAATGTAACACAGAGGTGCAAAATAAGCACATGCTACCAGAAAAGTGGCACTGGTAGACTTGCTTGGTGCAGGGTTGCCACAAACCTTCAACCTGTACAAACTGCAATATCCGAGAAGCATAATAATGTGAAGTGTAATAAAACAAGGTAAGCTTGTATATGTATGCATGCACACACCAGTACACATCCACCTATCCACACACAAATCTTTGTACTAACAAAGCCTGTATTTTCAATTCCAACAATACATCATTTGTACCTTAAAAATCTCTGTCATCCTTGTAGTGTCCTTTTCTGTCCTTGTTATCAGGGTAATGCTGGCCTCATAAAAAATGTTTGGAAGTGTTCCCTCCTCTTCAACTTTTGGAAGAGTTTGTGAAGAAATGGTATTAATTCTTCTTTAAACATTTGGTAGAATTCTCCACTAAGCTATCTGGTCTTGGATTTTCCTTTTTCAGGAGCTTTTTGACTACTGACTCAATATTTTTACTCATTATTTATCTGTTTTTATTTTCTATTTCTTCATGTTTCAGTCTTAGTGGATGTATGTTTCTAGAAATTATTCTAAGTTAAACAATTTGTTGACACATAGTTGTTTAGAGTAGACTATTATTATCCTTTGTATTTCTATGGTACCAATTTTAATATCTCCTTTTTTGTTCTAATTTTATTTACTTAAGATTTCTTTTTTCTTAGCCTAGTGATAGGTTGGTCAATTTTTATTATCTTTTCAAAAAATCAGCTCTTCGTTTCATTGATCTTTGCTATTGTTTTTCTAGTCTATTTCATTTATTTCTGCTATGATCTTTGTTATTTCCTTCTTCTAATTTTGGGCTTGATTTTTTTTCTCTATTTTTTGAGGTTTATTTGAGATCTTTTTTCTTCATTTAGCACTTATCTGTATAAACTTCCCTCTCTTAGAACGGCTTTTGCTTCATCTCATCAGTTTTAGTATGTCGTGCTTTCATTTTAGTTTGTCTCAAGATATTTTATTTCTTTTTTGATGTTTTCTTTGATCTACTGGTTATTCAGGAGTGTGTTGGTTGATTTCCACATATTTGTCACTTTTCTAAGTTTTCTCCTGTTTTTAATTTTCAGTTTCATGCCACTGTAGTCAAAAAGAATACTTGGTGAGATCTCAATCTTCTTAAATTTGCTAAGACTTGTTTTCTGGCCTAATATATGACCTATGTTGGAGAATGTACTGTGTATGCTCGAGAAGAATGTGTATTTTGCTGTTTTGGAAAGGAATGTCATGTATATGTCTGGTCCATTTGATCTATAGTGTAGTTCAAGTCAGCTGTTTCCTTACTGATTATCTGTCTGAGTGATCAATCCATTGTTGAAAGTGGGACATGGAAGTCCCCTACTGTTATTGTATTATTGTTGTCTACTTCTCTCTTCAGATTTGTTAATATTTGCTTTATATAATTAGGTGCTCCAATGTTGGGAGAATATATATTTGCAGTAGTTATATCCTCTCAATGAATTGACCCTTGTATCATTCTATAATGACTTTGTCTCTTGTTACAGTTTTTGACTTAAAGTCTATTTTGTTTGTTGTAAGAATAGCTACTCTGTCTTTTTTTGTTCCCTCTCTTTCAGTCTATGTGTGTCTCTAAAGGTGAAGTGAGTCTCTTATAGGTGGCATATATTTGGTTCTTGTTTTACTATCCATTCAGCCACTCTGTGTCTTTTGTTTCACTAATTTGGTCCACTGATATTTAAAGTAACTATTGATAGGCATTTTGTAGTTTTTTTGTTCTTTTATTTCTCTCTTGCTGTGCATGATTTGATTACGTTGATTATTTTCTGTAGTGGTATACTTTGATTCTTTGCTGTGCCTTTGTATTAATTCTTTTTTAAACATGTGGTAAAATTCTCATTTGTGTATCTGTTACATGTTTTGTCTTTGTGTTTATCATGAGGCTTACATAAAACATTGTATGCTATCGTGTGCCACACAAGGATGTTTTGGTCAATGATGGGCCACATATACAACGGTGGTCCCATAAGGTTATAAGATTTTTATTGTACCTTTCATATGTTTAGATACATTAGATACACAAATGCTTATGATTGTATTACAGTTGCCTATAGCATTCAGTATAGTACAATGCTGTACAGATTTGTAGCCTGGAAACAATAGGTTATACCAAATAGCCCGGGTGTGTGTTAGGTGGTATTATCTAATTTTGTGTAAGTATACTCTATGATATTCACACCATGACAAAATTGCATTATTCAGGACATGTCCGCATTAAGAAATGCATGATTGTAGTTATAATGGTCTATTTTAAGTTGATAACAACTTAACTTCAATCATATACAAAAACCCTACACTTTACTCCCCTCCACTTATGTTTTTTGATGTCAGAGTTTCTTTCTTTGTATATTTTGTAATTATATTTATTTGTAGTATTTTTTGTCTTTTAACCTTTTAAAAGTTAAAGTGATTATACTCCATCATTACAGTATTAGGAGTATTTTGAATTTGACTGTACAGTTACTTTTACCAGTGACTTTTTATAACTACATATGGTTTCATGATACTAATTAGTCTTATTGCATTTCAGTTTGAGGAACTCCCTTTAGGGTTTCTTATAAAGCAGATCTAGTGACAGTGGACTCCCCTAGATTACTTTGGGGGGTTTCTGAAAAAGTCTGTAAGTCCTAGCCAGAGCAATTAGGTAAGAAAAAGAAATAAAAGGCATCCAAATTGGAAAAGAAGTGAAAGTGTCTCTATTTGAAGATGACATGATCTGTATAGAAGTGGAATAAAGAGTAGCTGACAACAATGCTGAAATAGTTACACATGAAGTTTTAATGAGCTATTTCATATTAAGATACATATTGAGAATTCAAACCAGAGAGTCCAGTTAATTGATATTTTCCCAACTCTGTTTTAGGGTGATCATAGAAATGATATCCACAAGTTAGTCACAGTGGCCTGCATCCATTTTGATATATCAGTGATGTATTTTGATTGGCCAGTGATCACCCATACTGACTGTTAAATATTTTTGTTATCACTCCTATGCATGGTGAATTTGAGTTCTGGTTTTCTTTAGCCTTGTGTTATTTATGTGTAAAGTTGGATTATGGAAGGCAAAGAATCTCTCGTGTGTCATTCACGCTCAAGTAAATGGCAGTGGGGTAGGGATGTAAATGAAACTGCGTGATAAGCCCTGCAAGTCATTCTGATGTATCAATTTTGCTTACTGGTGTTTAATTGCAGACATTGTCATATTAATGCAACCACTAATACATTATGGAGTAAGATGCAAAAATCACATGAGTCTTAAGAGAAAAGAAATGTGCTTTCTATGGTGGGCCCCTTTTGTATTATTCTCTAACTTCTTATTTTATACCTCTACTATTAGAGAAATTTCAGTAGAAAATCGTGAGGGGCACCGTTTTAGAGTTTTTGTTGTTATAGGTATGCTTTTACTACAGCTAGGTCCCCTTGTACATCTTTATGTTCTTTGGCAGTCTAGAGAACCAGAAGAGCAAACTCTATGAGATAGAAACTCTAAGAATTTATTTACCTCCAGCATCCCTTCTCTTCTTTCATTAAATTGAATTTGTGGCCAACTCAAAGACTGACAATTTATACTATGGTTTTTATGTTTTTATATTATAATTTATATTACGGCTTATGTCAAAATGTTTTGTTCACTGCTTTGAAAGTATCTTTTGTTTACTTTTGTTATTTCATATTTTAATTTTTTCCTTTCTAATTGTTAGAAACTCATGTATTTTATCTTTCAAAGAAAATTTTTTAAAAGGCTTACTCTGCTTATATGTATATTTTGCACAAAGCTTTCCATTCATAAACAAAAGGTGAATAGGAATCAGAATTGAAAACTACGTAATTTCTTTTCTCCTTTTGAGTCAAATCATCACAGTATAGATTAGTCATTGTGTATGAAGTGCATTGCCAATACATAGTCACATTTGTGTAGAAATGTAAAGGCTATATCTCAATACAAATCAAAAACCAAAAAATGCAGAAGACCATTAGCTAATAATACTAATAATCTAGTATAGAAAGCATGTGCCAACTGATCTAGACTCTTGTGACAGTTGTATATCTACCCAGCTGCATGACCTGAGGTGTATCAAAATCTTGATTTCCTAGACTACAAATGAGTAAAAGGGATGGAGGCCCCTTACAGTTTTAAGATTCTAGAATTCTAAGTGTGTGTAACTAGAGCAAATTTTATTTTCTAAAATTTGCATAATAAATTTAAAAATAGGAGAAAAACAAATAATTAAAGTACATATTTCTAGAAATCTTTTTTAGGTGACTTATACTACCAGGAATGGATTTACCACTAAATATTGGTTTTGCCTAATTCAGCATTGCTATGTAATTTGATGGAAGTATAACTCCATAGACAAAGAGATTTGGTCCTAACATAGCTTGTATTTTATATGTATATACACTATTTCTATTTAAATTTCTGTGTAGTCATGTTTTACCCTTTTAAAATGAAGATTAGTTTTATTATGTATTTTCTTTTGTCTATAAACATTCAATGAATTCACACTGAAAACTGATTATGAACAGATAGTCTGCTAGGCACTAAGGAAACACATACGAAAAACTAAGTCCTCCTCTGCCCTCAATATGCTCACAAGACTACAGTTACTGAAGCCTGACCTCAAAACCTAGCTAGCAAAGTCCTTGAATCAGGTGATAGTTCAGAATACCATTCGTGCTCTCTCCCAAGAGTATATCTGAGGAAGGGCAGTTCTTTCTAGTTTTCTACATCCTGGTCGTATAGGTCAACCACAGGAAAATTAAATGAATCTATTGTTTTGGTGACCTAGCCTTTTCATATAACTCTCATCTATAAATGTATTACCAAATACTATTTATGTAAAGGGACTTGTATGACAAATATTTTGAAATTAAAACCACAATGGTTAGCATAGCTTTTAAATTAGATAGATGTTGACCTCCCATTGGTAAACATATAAAGTGCTACCAAGATCTGCCAATGACAGACTTTGGAAGTGGAAATTCATCTTTGTAATAATCCTGTTATCTGTAGGCTGACCTCAAACCTTCATAACATTCAGGGCCCCTTATTCCTAACTGTATCTTCTATTTTGGGCATTGTGCTCTTGCCATCTAACAGGAAAACAACTTTCAGTGCTGCCACCTTTTGAACAGGAGAGATTTCTAGAGATTAGAAAATTACTAAATTTAAATATACATAGTTTTAAAATATGATACTTTTCTACCCATGCATTCAAATATATTCTAACTTTAAAATCCTGTAAATACTTATATTTGTAATGATTTTACTTATATGATCCAATTAATTGGCAAGAATATGTGGTGAAAGATTTTTTACATGTTTGTATTGTTCTGTGTGAGACATCTATTGTAAGCATTGCTTCAGGCCCTCATTTTTGTCTGCCTTCCAGGATTTGCTGGCCCAAGTGCTGTGTGCTAGCTTAGTGTCAGTCACAAAGGGGAGGGAAACTTGCAGTTGAGCCAGACAGTTTTGTTATTCCTTTAAAATTAAAAGCATATGAAACAGATACAGCTTATTAAGGTTTTTTTTATAAATAACATAAACTTAAATAACAAAACAATAAGTTCAAAAACAACTTAATATAGAGTTTAATGCAGTAACCATAGGAAAAAAGCGTGATTATTTGTGGGAAGAACATTATTAAAAGCCATATTCCCAAATATGAATTATACAAAGATAGATTATGTTACTTGAAAAAAACTTAAAGATTTCTCAATTTTACTTTGAGGAATTATAAAATGTTATTTAGTGGCAAGTAAGATGAAGTACAGTATTATCATCAATCACTGTTGCTATCTTATATACAAGATTTTTGGAAACATCCTTTTAGCAATACCCTTTCCACTTGAGCAGCATTAGAAATTTTGTTCTTGTTAATAGGTATAAGCATGTTCTAATCCTGTACTTTTGTTAAATTATCTATTTTATTGACTTTCATAATAGATTTTTTTGAGAATATTCTTTTTTTCTGATTAGAGTTTAAGTAGATTATAATTTTTCACTAGAAAGCATTTAAAATGCTGCTCATTTTCCATAGTTAGTGTGGCTTGATTATCTGACAAATCCTGCCAGCAGCCTGTAGGTCTGATATACCTTATATAACATCATCTGCATTATTATTATTATAGCAGCCATTTTATAAGCAGATAGGAATATTTAAATAATCATTATCAGATAATCAAATCTAACATACTCTTAAGGGTAAATTAATTTAAGAAAAAAATTACTATTACTAACATCATGATTGTACAACCAGTTTTACAATTTTGTACAACCTTTAGTTACTAAATCTGATTTTTGTGTATACTTTTCAAATGTCTCTTTAATGCAGTGTCTTAAAACAAACATAAATGCGCAAGTCCAGCTTGATCAGTTTTTCAGTAGTTTTCCAGCCTTTCTTGATTACTAGAAAATAAAAGGAAAGAAAATTTTGAGAAGAAAGAAAACAGTCCACTTAAAGAAATCTCCCTGCTGGAACTGGTTCTTTATATACCATATGCAATTAAGTTATTGCCATAGGAAGAAAGTGGGCTGTTTTTTGTTCTTTCTTTGTTTTTTTTCCTCTTACAGGAATCCCCTTTTGATTTAAGGCCACAAACATTTCCCCTCCGTTGTTTGTCCATTTAGCTGCTGCATATGTGTTGTAATGGTTTTCCAGAATTAGATCTTTGAAGTTACAATCTTCATTGCATTCCTTCTGTTGAAACAAACAAACAAACAAACAAACAAACATGATCCAAATGATTTTGAGAGAGGCTCAATTAAACGAAGAGTAAGCAGGTAATATTTGGTAGAATTGAAACATACACAACTTTTTTTAACCCTCAGATTGAGCAGGCCTAATGTGGTTTATTAGCTAGACTTATGTAGTATATTTGCATTAAAAGGTATCTTAAATTTGAAATAGAAACACCACATAATACACAGCTAGTTATGAAATATGTGTAGCTTTTTGGAAGTTCATGTCAACTATTCTTTAAAATTAGGACCTATTTCCCCCTAAGTAACAGGCCTCATATTACTATTCCCACATCACTCATTCTTTAACCACTGGAAATTTGCTATAATTAGCAGAACCTCTGCCTCCCTCAGGTGAGAGACTTGTTTCACAACTTTTCTTTATTTACTTCTACATTGTCTTCAATGGTAATGGAAGATAAAAGGTTAATTTGTTTGTTCATCCATGCAACCATTTGTTCATTCAGTTAAACCTGTATCATTATACAATTAGCCTGTTCCAGGCATTATGCTGAGCTGTGGGAATATAAAGGAAAGCCAATTATATTTTATTACAGTGAGATGAACTGTTACATATTTTGCATTGTAGTGAAGTGGGAACAATGTGAATAATTACAGTTCAAAGCCCATGATTGTCAGATTGATATTGATGAATGAACTAAACATTTCAAGATTTTTTCCCAAGAATTCTCATGTCAGCAATGTGCAAATTGAGTGAACTTTAACAAAAAGAGCTTTAATACTGGCAAATGGAAATTTTGGATTTTAAATATCTAAAATGCACATGGAATTTTAGAGCTGGCAGGATCCTTAGAGGTCAGCTAATTCAACTCATTTTACAGATGAAGAAACCAAAATCCAAAGAACAAGCCATTTGTCCAAAGTCACACAGAAAACATTTTTTCTTAATGTTTGAGTATAAAGTGTTTTAATAAAATCATTAAATTATACAGTTGGAGATAAATTAAGTCCATTTTTACTTTTCAGAATGGTGAGATATTTCAACAAAAGAGTTTTAAAAATTAAGCCTAAGCTATCAATTATCAATACCTTTGCATAGAGTTTTCCTTCCTCGTTCGTTGCAAGATAGAATTCACTTTCCACCCCTTTGATTGCCACAATCCCAACTGCTACTGTCCTGATTTCCATGATATCTGCAAGGAATCACAGAAAGACATGTCAAGTATTCGTTCAGCTTTGCAAATGATCCACGAATGGCCGTTTGTTCTTATTTCTGTTTTAATCGGAAGTTTTTAAAATTTTTAATGTGATTATTTACTCAGCCCAAGACCCCGACCCACAACAGATACACACAAACACCAGAATAGTCATTATATAAGGGAAGTGCAAACTGACGGTTTTTTATTTTGTAGAAAATATGTCTGTATCAAATAAATAGTTACATATTTGAGTTCAGCTTTTTATTCTCTAGAATTAAATTTCTAATTTACTATAATAATAATAGCTAATGTTTATTGAACTCATACCACATGCCAAGGATTATTGCATTGCTCTTATGTATTAACTCATTTACTCATAACCACAGATTGAGGCAGGTAGTCTTGTTATCCCAGTTTTACAGATCAGGAAACTGAAGCACAGAGAAACTAAGACATTTGTCCAAATTCTTATACCTGATAAGTAGCAGAACTGGAATTTGAACCCAGACATTCTGGCTCTTAATCATTATATAATTACTTTTCTATTTGGATAAACTTTATCTTAAAAATTATTGCCAACAGAATAGCTCTTGAATATACTGAAAGTGAAGAAAATTCTAATTAAAGTAATTGTAAATGATGGTAAACAGAGCCTACTGCCTTAAAAAAAAAAGATTGTTTTAAACTGATAGTATTTTGATACATGAAAAGACCATTTAAAACAAAATTATGAATCCTGTTTATATAATACTTCATAACTTTATATCTTTGTAATTAACTTTTAAATCTTTGTTGAAATAGTATTTACAAAACATGTTTACACAAGAATGATAACTTACTATTTTCCTTTATTATATATATCTTCCTTAAATCCTGTGTTTTAATGACACAATAAAGTAAAATCTCAAGAAATTTATTAAAATGATGTAAAAATTTTAGTGTACTTTTATGCAATTTGCTATTAATTACATTTTCTACATGAAGGTACAGTCCTGAGACATTCTTTTACCTAAGTCTAACACAGTGCAAAGAAAAGTCGAAGTGTCAATTATCTGTGTGATTGGGCCTTCAAAAGCTATCTTCTAAAATATTGACTTAAAGAAAAAACTAATTGTTTTGCCCCATACCTTCACTTCATTCTCTTATTTATTTTTTTGACTTCATTTTTGCTACCTGGATAATAAAATTTCTATTCATGTCATTGGGATTTAATGTAGCCTAGCTAATATTTCTCATTTGCCTCACATATATGTTGCATACAGAAGCCCTTTTCCCAATATACTATACTTAACACTAGTCAGAGCTCGTCCAGTTGAGTTTCACAGCTACTCATCCAGAAATTGGGTTTTATTAAGAAAATGTAAATGAATGGATATTAATCTTTTTATATATTTATTAAGCATTATCACAACCCTACTGTGCATACAACCCTACTGTGGTTTTAGGACACAAATTAAGAAAAACAGCCCTGGTTTCTGACACCAGAAGTTAAAACCTAATAGAAAGAGCAGACACGTCCATATATTTTGAAGAATTTTGAAGAACACAGGCCTGAATAGGCCAGATAAAATTTTAATAATTGCTTACAAGCACATGAAGGATTATGATGTTGATGCATTCATGAAATGTTCAACAGGTCTTCACTGAGAGCCAATTTTATGCTAGGCTCAATTCACAGACAAGCCTTGCCCTTTTAGAGCACTCTATTTGGTAACTACAGCTTCATTGCATTAAAGGAAGCACAAAGGGAAATAACATGCAGAAGAATACTATTAGGTTAAATTTGTACGAATACAATGAAAAATACTGAAGAAGTTCATTGATTCAGCATATTTGCAATACCTCCAAAATGGAATGAATGTATCAGTTAGGTCGGTGCAAGAGTAATTGTGGCTTTTGCCATTACTTATATGACAAAAACTGTAATTACCTTTGCACCAAACTAATATTTAAAAGACATATGGAATAGTTGGTTTCTAAAGATCTTAGCATTGTAAAATATCATTAAAAAGTCAATATTTTCTTTTCCTTCAAGTCTCTTTACTCCTGCCATTCCTCCCTTTATTTAATATATTTTCTTTTAGATAAAAAGAGAATGCTGATGCACAAGCTTAGAGTGTCTTTCTTGATCAGTTATTAGGGACTAGAATCTGTAATGTTTGCTGGCTTTTCTTTTACAGAACAATTGTAAAACATAAATGTTGACTGATAGAGTTATTATTAATTATGATAGGCAGACATCTTCCCTTTTTGGTCCTGTCATGACAATAAGTTCATATTGTCCCACTCCCAAAACATTTTCCTCTATCCCCTGCCTGTCTATTACCCACTGTTTCTATACTGCACTTTACAAGAGGTGATGGCTGGATGTGGTAGCTCACACCTGTAATCCCAGCACTTTAGGAGGCCGAGTCAGGCAGATCACTTGAGGTCAGGAGTTCAATACTAACCTGGCCAACATGGCGAAACCCCGTTTCTACTAAAAATACAAAAAATTATCCGGGTGTGGTGGCGGGTGCCTGTAATCCCAGCTACTCAGGAGGCTGAGGCAGGAGAATTGCTTGAACCCAGAAGGCAGAGGCTGCAGTGAGCCAAAACGGTGCCACTGCCCTCTAGCCTAGGCAACAGAGTGAGACTCTGTCTCACCAAAAAAAAAAAAAAAAAATTAGTTGGGCATGGTGGTGAATTCCTATAATTCTAGCTACTTGAGAGGCTGAGGCAGGAGAATCACTTGAACTTGGGAGGCAGAGGTTGCAATGAGCCGAGGTCACACCACAGCACTCCACTCTGGGTGGAGTGAGGCTCTGTCTCAAAATAATAGTTAAATAAATAAATAAAAATAAGGTGGTGAACATTTTTAATCTTATCCCTCCACATATTAGGGTTAAGGATACCAAAAATTCTTCGTAAAGATTCTACATTTGGCTGAGATGAGAACAGACTTATATTCTTAATTGCTTGACATATTTAAAAAATACCATTCACACTGGGAAATCAACATATCTAAAAGACAATTGCTTGGGGAGAGCATTAAGCAGTGTTGGCAGAATCAGTACCTTATCGACCCTATTTTCTAGTCTATTTTGTTCCATGTCCTACGACCCTCTTTTATTCAAGAAAAGCTCAAGAATAAAGAAATTAACATTATCACTCTTTTGTTCAGTTGCAGTGTGGGGAGTGATGTTCCTTTCAATATGCACAAATATTTATAGAAGTGTTAAATATGGGCTGGGCGCAGTGGCTCACGCCTGTAATCCCAGCACGTTGGGAGGCCAACGCGGGCGGATCACCTGAGGTCAGGAGTTCAAGACCAGCCTGGCAAATATGGTGAAACCCCATCTCTACTAAAAATACAAAAATTAGCCAGGCATGATGGTGGGTGTCTGTAATCCCAGTTACTCAGGAGGCTGAGTCAGGAGAATCATTTGAACCTGGGAGGCGGAGGTTGCAGTGAGCCGAGATTTCACCATTGCACTCCAGCCTGGACAACAAGAGCTAGACTCTATCTCACCAAAAAAAAAAAAAAAAAAAAATTATTAACTATGAAATCCTACCCCTCCAAATCAGAAGCCACGAAGTTGCTCAGAAAACATAATAGAAAAATATGTAATATGCAGATATTAAGTTAGTTACCAATATAAGTTAATTATACTTGGTTTTTTTGTCTACAGTGTATCCGTTGCCTCATATAAAACAAATAGAAGAGGCTGTCTTTCTTTGTGGATTTCCATTTGTGCTTAAGAGAAGTTTGTTCACATAAATAGCACTCAGTAAATTTATTCCCAGAGATTTAAAGCATATTACATAGATGCATCCAATTGTTGACATAATGTCCATGATAACATAATGACAGAGTTCAAAAATATAAATGAAAAAGAGAGAGAGAATCAGCTCATGCAATAGAACATGAAAAACCAGGCAATATGTCAAGCACATTGACCATTTTGCCTTGTTAGCAATATTGTCAACAATAGCATAAATTTATTATTTAGGATGTCACCCTTACACACTAGAGACTATGCCCTAAATAGCTTCCCTATTTTTTATCGTCTGGTTCAATAATTCATGAATTTATCTAAACTTTTTGTCTGTTTATTATTTAAACCTGTGTCACACTTGGAATGAAAAGTGGGGAACTTTGATCTAAATTGCAATTACTTTTTAAAAAAATTCTCTAAAGTCTTTCAGAATTTTAGGTGTCCCTCTAATCTTGTATTTCAGAAGTTGATACTAATTCTTTTTTTAATTACCAATAGCTTTGTGATTTTAAAGTGCTTTAACTTTCCTGTTTGAAAAATTACTTTTTAGTGTCTCACTACACAGAATCCATGGCCACCAATCTCAGCATCATTAATATTTCTTTTTCCTGAAACTGTTAAAGCCTTATATTTAAAGTTTTGAAGGGGTATATATTAATATGGCTGTGCTAGCATGATAGCTAAATATTTTCAAGTTGCAAAAAAAAGTGGAGGCAGCGGTTTGATAGTTAGCCAGTCAGAACATTTAATCTTGTCCTTGATCAAATATACCCTCTTCGGCATGTTAAAACTAAGAACTAGTATCAACAAAGAAAAAAACATTTAAATTTAAATACATTTTATGATTTTCTGTCAAGCCTGGATTGTTGAGTGGGAAATCTTAACCATTATATATTTATATTATGTTTAAGGCTATAGATTCCATTCATTTTACATCACTAAAATACACCGACATATACATATATGCAAAAAATATATCAATATATCCAACATATACAAAAAACACTGAAAACACAACAATAGGAAAAAAAAACTAGTTAAAAAGTGGGCAAAATCTGGACACCTCACTAAAGATACACGAAGGGCAAATAAGCAGACGAAAAGATGCTCAATATCATAGATCATCAAGGAATTGCAACATGGATGCAGCCGGAGGCCATTATCCTAAGCAAATTAACACAGGAACAGAAAAATAACTACTGCATGTTTTCACTTATAACTGGGAGCTAAACACTGGGTACTTAGGGACATAAAGATGGCAACAACTGACACTGGGGACTACTGGCGGGGAGTAGATGAGGGAAGGGTTGAAAAACCATTAGGTACTATGGGCAGTACCTGGGTGATGGGAGCAATCATACCTCAAACCTCAGTATCACACAATATACCCAGGTAACAGACCTGCACATGAACCCCCTGAATCTAAAATAAAAGTTGAAATTATTTAAAAAGGAATTGCAAATTAAAACAACAACAATGAGATACCTCTATACAACTATTAGCATGACTAAACTCCAAAAAACTGACAGTGCTGTATGCTGGCAAGGATGCAAAGCAACCAAAACTCTTTCATTACTAGTGGGAACGCAAAATGGTGCAGTCACATGGGAAGACAGTTTGGCAGTTTCTTAAAAACTAAACATGCTATATAATCCAGCAGTCATGCCCCCAGGTATTTGCCCAATTGAATTGAAAACTTACGTTCACACAAAAACCTGAACATGACTATTTATAGAAGCTTTATTCATATCATCAAAAACCAGATGCAACCAACATATCCAATAGGTAAATGGATAAACAAACTATGGTACACTTATACATTGGAATATTATTTAGCAATAAAAAGGTATTGAGCTGTGAAGCCACAAAAAGACAAGGGGAACCTTAAGTACATATTGCTAAGTGAAAGAAACCAGTCTGAAAAAGCCACATACTGTATGATTCCAGCCATATGACATTCTGGCAAAGGCAAAACTTTAGAGGCGGTAAGATCAGTGGTTGCAAGGGCCTTGAGGAGAGCAGAAGAAGGATGAAAAGCTGAATCACAGGGGATTTTTAAATCAGTGAAACTATTCTGCGTAATACTGTAATAGTGGATAGACGATATACATTTGTCAGAACTCATAGAACTATACAAAGCAAAGCGGGGACGTTAGTATAAATTGATGGTATAAATAAATATTGGCTCATCTATTGTAATAAATGTGCCACATTAATGCAAGATATTTATAATGGAGGAACTGTGGGGGGAAATGGAGATTGTTTGTGGGACTCTATTATCCGCTCAATTTTTTTTTTTTTTTTTGAGACGGAGTCTCGCTCTGTCGCCCAGGCTGGAGTGCAGTGGCGCGATCTCGGCTCACTAAAAGCTCCGCCTCCCGGGTTCACGCCATTCTCCTGCCTCAGCCTCCCCAGCAGCTGGGACTACAGGCGCCCGCCTCCACGCTCAGCTAATTTTTTGTATTTTTAGTAGAGACGAGGTTTCACCGTGTTAGCCAGGATGGTCTCGATCTTCTGACCTCGTGATCCGCCCACCTCAGCCTCCCAAAGTCTGGGATTACAAGCGTGAGCCACCGCGCCCGGCCCTTTCTTTTATTTTAATAAAATAACTACCTAATTTATGACAGTAGGAAAGTAGGATCTGGTGTTCTCTGAGCTTCTTTGATTTGTGGGCAGGTGTCTGTTGCTGAATTTTAAAAGTTCTCAGCCATCCCTTTTTTCTTTTCACATTCTGGGTGAATGCAGTTTTCATAGAAGGTGCTAGATTTGTGCAACCCTAAAGATAGGTGACTCCTCTGACTCACAGATCCCTGGGAGCCTCTCCCGAACAGAGTTTCTTTATCCACACACCCCACTTCCCACACCCACTCTTCCACATAGGTGTTCTGGCCACCAGTAATCTCTGAAGGATGGAAGATGAAGAGACATGACTTTTACCTGAGTCTCTACTCCTCCCAAGAGAATGAATGTTCCTGGAAACTTAACCAACAGAAAATCAGGGGATATCAATATATGTAAGCACTCATTACTCATGTAATGGAGGCCTTGGCAAAATGTGACACGTAAATTTCTGCTCAGGGAGAGTAGAAAATAGGCACAGAGACTAGAGAGACTGGTAAAGAATGAAGCCTCAAAGGTGATTGAGTTGTGTTAAAGGAACGTCTTGATCAGGCTTTGCTTTATTTTTCTCTTGTGGAGTATGAAACTGGGTGTTACAATTAAATATATTTCTTGATTTCCTAAAATGTTATAGGCTGTTTCCAATTTTTGTTATTTTTGGAGTTTCTTAAATCGAAATTTGATTCAGGATAATTAAAAAATATAATGTTAATGTTAAGATGGAAGGTAGGTCAAAAGGCAATCATGTTAAACAAGAGGAGAATTGGAGATAAGACCTTGAACACGAAAGTATTCTTAAATTCTTGACTATTATGATACAGTTTGCATAAACAACTGAGATTTCTTCAGAAAACTATAGTGAAATGGGACACTACAAATCAAATATAAATTTAAAAATGAACACATTTATTCAATACATATCCATAGATTATTCTGGATTAAATGTACACATTTTAAGAATAAAGTTTTAAATTTGAAAATGAAAGACTGTTTCCCATCTAAACAGACCGTTGGCTTCAAGATACTTACAACTGTGTTAAATCATCTTCCATTGGTTATAGTTGATTATGGCATGGGCATCCCCAAATCTGGCTGACCCATACTACGTTTTTCCTAAATCTCTTTTTTCTTCTGTATCTTGCTAGGCTGCTGGTTCATCCTCCCAATTTCCTGTATTTAAAACCCCAGTGCCATGTTTGACCTTGTCCTTTCTCTTCTACTGTTCACATCTTCTGTCTCTCACATTCATTCCAACCTACACATCCCAGTGGCCTATTCCTATTTAAGCACCCAACCCCCTCTCTCCTGAATGAATGCAGAAAACTTTCTCATCTCTGGACTCATAGCACCACAGCTATTTTTACACATGACTGTCAGATGTGTGGAGTTCTTGAACCATAGTTCTGTGGTGTCATCATTCATTTTAAAAATTTTGATTGGCTCCCTATTACCTAGAAAATAAACTTTAGTATCCTTTGCTCAACATGTGAGGCCCTCCACAATCTAATTTCACACACTCCAAAACCTTATTTCTACCTACTCTCTTCCAAGGACCCTGAACCCCACATTCCAGGCAAATCCAGTCATTGAACACTTACATAGGCCATCAGAAGTCACTGCAAAACCAATCCGGTCTGACTCCTATGTTGTTTAGTGCTCTATCCCCTTTGTCTGAAATGGCTTTCCCTCCACCTCTATTTTTATTTACTGGCACCTTCCACAGCTTTCAACATTCAGTTTGTCATGAAGGCAGCTGTTATAGACTGGACTAGAAGACTGTGAACTGAATTGGTGGTTTCCAAATCAGTATCACACTTGATTCCCACCTCCAGAAATTTTGATAGAGGGGGCCTGGAGTAGAGCCAATGAGTCTTACACACACACACAGACACACACACACACACACACCCCAAAACAAACACACACTTACCCTAATGACTATCTAGGTGCCAGCCCTAGCCTAGACCAGGCTGGTGGAACATGCTGGATTAAAAACAACAGGACACTGAGAAAGTATTTGCTACACAGACATATGGGATTTGACCATGTGTTATTTACAGATAACCTAACTCATTGGAGTAAAACCTATCTTAAATTGGCATATGGTATAGGATATGTTGTAGCATTTTATTAGTGAACATTTGTAAGGTTTTATTTGTGAAAGCTAATAAGACTGCATTTGTGACCATCACAAGGAAAACAGATAAAACTGTATTTGTGACCATCTCAAGGAAGGTGTGTCCTATGCCATGCTCACCTGCCAAGCTGGCTGCAGTCCCTTCCTCTCCTGACTTCACTTTGCCCCTAAAGGTATCTCTGTTATTATACTCATGGCTTTCCATTTTCTAATACTGTGTACTGATCATTTCAACACATGCCTTATTCTCTAAACAGACTGAAAGATTCATTAAGTATCTGAAAAGCAAATGCTGATGAACTTGCCTAAAATAAAAAGCATGAACCATGCAAGTTTCTAACATAGATTGTAGCAGCCACCCCACATGACTGCAATCGCCTCCCCATTGATCTCCCGGCTGACACATTCTATGTATTTGTAACTCAGCAACCAGAGTGATCCTTTAAAAATTATCAGAGAGCACCACTCCTCTTAGTAAAGCACTACCCCACCCCAGTCACGTAGCTTTCTGATTCACAGGAGTAAAAGCCAAAGTCCTTATAATGGCCTAAAAATCGTACATAATCTGTTCCTTTTCAGATTTCATTCACTACCATCTTCCCCCTTCTCTCTCTGTTCCAGTTACAACAGCTTGCCCCCTCAAACACAACTAGTATGTTCCTGCCCCAGGGCCTTTGCACCTGCTTTTTCCTCTTAGAGCAACAAGTTTGCTCCAGATATCTGAAAAGCTGACTATCTCGCCACCTTCAGATGTGTGTTCTAATGTCTCTTTATCAATGAGAGCTTCTTTGTCCACCCTGGGCATCTTCTTGCCCTTCCTTGCTTTATTCTTCCCCATGGCACTTACTCACATTGGACACTAAACACTTGTTTCCTTAGCTAGGCATTCTTCTCCTACCCTCACAACAGTAGGAATGTCCTAAGGTTTTGAGAAGACTCCCGTGCTAGGTTTCCAGACTCCTGTCCTCTCACATTTGGTGCTCATGCACCTCTTGGTCATTAGTGCACTCCAGAGGTTAGGACCTAGAGTACGTGGCTGTCCTTCAGAGGAGGGAAAGGGATTGCTTGGGAGCAGAGAAGGGAGCTTTGGCCTCGCAGTGCAGGACCCCTGTGCCCACAGGCCTCTGTGTGTTGACAGCAATGCTCTTGGTGTCCACCTGCACTGCCCTCTGGTGTTCAGTCAAAATCAAGCAAATGGTTACGAACTGCTATAGGGGATTGTTACCAGGTCCTGAGTCTGTGTTGGAAACACAAACCCAGAAGCAAACAAATCTGCCCAACACCCCTGACACGTGGGTTTCACAGAAAATACTGAGGTCAGAGTAGCATGTTAAATGACACCACAGTGACAACACAATCATAAAAATCTACACTGTGGACTCTGTCCTAGTTTCTTTAATGAATTGCATGGAAAAAAAAAGATGGAAGGGGAAGAATAAGAATGAAGAATGCTTTAGAGACTCTGCAATCCATCGTAATATCCGTACAAGGATTCTGCTTTTTTAAAAAAAGAAAAATGGTGTGAAAAAATATGTAAGACTGGCCAGGCAGCGTGGCTCACACCTGTAATCCCAACACTTTGGGAGGCCGAGGTGGGTGGGTCACTTGAGGTCAGGAGATCAATCCTGGCCAAGCCTGACCAACATGCCAATATGGTGAAACCCCGTCTCTACTAAAAATACAAAAAGTTAACCAGGCATGGTGGTGGGCACCTGTAATCCCAGCTAATTGGAAGCTGAGGCAGAAGAATCGCTTGAGCCCAGGAGGTGGGGGTTGCAGTGAGCCGAGATCTTGCCACTGCACTCCAGCCTGGGTGACAGGGCGAGACTCTATCTCAAAAAAAAAAAAAAAAGTAAGACAATCAGGGAAATTGGAACAGCGACTGGATTTTGGTTAAAAGTAAGTAATTCTGGCTAATTTTTTAGATGTATTATTTTAAAAAGGGGATCCTTACCCTTTGGAGGTGGATACTAAAATATTCATGGATGAAATGATAGGATGCCAGAAATGCTCTTCAATTAATCTATGTCAGGGAAGTGGGATCAGAGGAATCAGGACTGTCTAAAACTGAAGCTGGGTATTAGGTCAATGAGTTAATTATACTATTCATTCATTATGCTATTTATTTCCTTTTGTATATTCTTTAAATTTTTCATAATAATAGTAATAAAGATATGTTGAACATGGTAAAGATGGAAAATGTACAGAGACAGAAGAAATATTCTTATTTTTTATTTCATACAATTCTATAGTTTCACATTTTGTTTTGTTTTACTGTATTTATGCATTAATTCTATAACTGTAAAACATGGTATTAATAATTAAACTGACCTTATGAAAATTTTTGGAGAGTGAAAACTTTGAAACTCATGTGCTAGGTACATCATTAAAATTTATCATTCAGGTGACACCTGATGACTCACATCTATAATCCCAGTAATTTGGGAGATGAAGATAGGAGGCTCCCTTAAGCCCAGGAGTTTGAGACCAGCCCTGGCTATATAGTGAGAGCCTGTTTCTACAAAAAAAAAAAATTATTTTTAATTAGCCAGGCATGGTGGCACTCACCTGTAGTTCCAGCTACTCAGGAGGCTAAGGTCAGAGGATAGCTTGAGCATGAAAGTTCAAGACTGTAGTGAGCCATGGTCATGCCACTGCACTCCAGCCTGGGCAACAGGGTAAAACCATGTCTTAATAAACAAACAAATAAATACATAAATACATAAATAAATAATAAAGTATTCCATTCAACATTTTTACCTTAGTAATGCTCAACATTTGGTTTCTACTTATTTCCTTTTATGTTGTATTTTCTAGACCAAATTCACATATAGTATAAAGCAGAAGAAACTAATGATTAAATTCATTGTTCGTAATTGTATTCAGTTTCCTATTTTCATCAACATTTGTTTACAAATTTTTTTTTTCTTTTTTGAGACAGAGTCTCGCTCTGTCACCCAGGCTGGAGTGCACTGGCGGGATAGCTCACTGAAAGCTCCGCCTCCCAGGTTCATGCCATTCTCCTGCCTCAGCCTCCGGAGTAGCTGGGACTACAGGTGCCCGCCACCATGCCTGGATAATTTTTTGTATTTTTAGTAGAGACGGGGTTTCACCGTGTTAGCCAGGATGGTCTCAATCTCCTGACCTCGTGATCTGCCCGCACCGGCCTCCCAAAGTGCTGGGATTACAGGTGTGAGCCACTGCCCCGGTCTGTTTAGAAATATTTTTAAAGAATTATTGCACTTCTGTTCGGATAGAAAAACAAAAATACATTTTAAGAATATATATTTATATGTATGAAAATATAAAATTTTGAAAAGTTGAATATTTCAAGCCAATTATGTAGATGTCCTTGTCCTTCCCTGAGCTGCTGACTCACGTTCCACGAAGCGGGATGGGTCTCACAGGGCCTGTCAGGATGCAGGCTGTGATGTGAAGGCCACTCGAATCTCACAGGATTGGACGGGTTTGTGAAGGAATTTGGAGCGAGCCTTAGTTAGCTCCTTAACATTTCCTTTGAGCAACATCAGTGCTTTTGACATTTTGCACTGCCGTATAAAACTGTAAGTGTATGCAGAGATGTATGTTTCTGAATAAATCACAAAATTGACAAGCAACTGCCATGCATTGTTTTTTGCATCATAGCTAACTGATAAAGTACAGACTGCAACATTTACTTATTCAAATACCTTTAAAGATCTGGTATTTTTTTGCTTCTACTTCCCAGGAATTTGACCTCAGGGACATTTTCTATTATTTCCATATCTATTGAAATGAACTCAAATCAAAAATGAGAATGTTTCATTATACATTTAAAATGTGAGTTTTCCCATTTAAAGTCACGCAAACTGAGGTTACTACGAAAAAGATTTAAAATTGTGCAGAATGAATCACTGAAAAATTAGTTTATTCTAAAGATCATATATTCAGAGTAAATATATTTAAATTTTATTCAGTTTCCTCTTTGTCAGCAAATTAGTGAATAACATTACTGATATCTTAGATGTTTGTGGACACAAAGAGAATAGAGGTAAAAATCATGACCCTCAAAGAGCTCAAAATCCTAAGATTTTTATGGGCAGCCCCAGAGGTATAAAATTCAAAAGGACATTACTTCTCCATTCCTGATTAGGTACGCAATGTTCTGGATTATTCATGGCTCTTGGATACTTGAGAGTAATAATGACAGTGACCTCTGAATTAACATAGTTCAACTTTTATAATAATTATGACCTTCAACCATGTGAAGTTTGTGGAGCACTGAGATTTCTTGGGGCAATTTTGTAACAGCTAATTCTTAACAGCAATGTTATTTCAGGCTTTTTGGACATTCCCTGTTACAACTGCTGATCTTTTATTCCTATAATGGTACAGAATTCTTTGAGAAAAATAAATTCATCTTTTCATTCATTTAAGGGAAAATTGTCAGCACGAGCCTATGGCTATAATGTTCTCCATCATTTAAAGAATAAAAGGAATAATCTGGTTGAAATTGAATTATCTAAGGTTACATATGGTTTTGATTCAATGGTTAACGTGCATTTTTAACAAGTGATATGGTTTGGCTGCAACATTTACTTATTCAAATACCTTTAAAGATTTTTTTTTTTTCTGCCTGTACTTCCCAGGAATTTGATGTCAGATGCATTTTCCATTATTTCCATATCTATTGAAATGAACTCAAATAAAAAAATGGGGATGTTTCATTACACACTTATTAATGTGTAATTTAAGATTAATGTGTAATCTTGTAATTCCCATAATCCTCATGTGTCAAGGGCGGGACCAGATGGACATGATTGAATCATAGAGGTGGTTTTCTCCATGCTGTTCTCGTGATAGTGAGTTCTCACAAGATCTGATGGTTTTATAAGGGGCTTCTTCCTTCACTCAAAACTCATTGTTTCTGCTGCCACCCTGTGAAGAGGTGCCTTCGGCCATGATTGTAAGTTTCCTGAGGCATTCCAAGCCATGTCAAACTATGAGTTAATTAAACTTCTTTTCTTTATAAATTACCCAGTCTTGAGTAGTTCTTCATAACAGCATGAAAACAGACTAATACAGTAAATTGGTACCACAGACATAGGGTGCTGTTATAAGGATACACTAAAATGTGGAAGTGACTTTGGAACTGGGCAACAGGCAGAGGTTGGAATAGTTTGGAGGGTTCAGAAGAAGACAGTAAAGGCTGGGTGTGGTGGCTCATCCCTGTAATCCCAGGACTTTGGGAGACCGAGGCAGGTGGATGACCTGAGGTCAGGAGTTTGAGACCAGCCTGGCCAACATGGTGAAACCCCATCTCTACTAAAAATATAAAATTAGCTGGGCATCGTGGTGCATGCCTGTAATCCCAGCTACTTGGGAGGCTGAGGAAGGAGAATGGCTTGAACATGGGAGGTGGAGGTTGCAGTGAGCAGAGATTGCACCACTGCATTCCAGCTTGGGCAACAAGAGCGAAACTCCATCTCAAAAAAAAAAAAAGAAGACAGAAGAATGTGGGAAAGTGTGGAACTTCCTAGAGACTTGGAGGGCTTGGAAGACAAGAAGATGTGGGAAAGCTTGGGACTTCCTAGAGACTTGAATGGCTTCTACCAAAATGCTGATAGTGACATGGAAAATGAAGTCCAGGCTGAGGTGGTCTCAGATGGAGATGGGGAACTTGTTGGGAACTCGGATAAAGATGATTTTTGATTCTCCTGCCTCAGCCTTCTGAGTAGCTGGGACTATAGGCACAGGCCACCACACTCGGCTAATTTTTGTATTTTTAATAGATACGGAGTTTCACCATGTTGTCCAGGATGGTCTCGATCTCCTGACCTCGTGTTCCACCTGCCTCGGCCTACCAAAGTGCTGGGATTACAGGCATGAGCCACCGCGCCTGGCCAAGTGAGGCGTTTTAAACAGCGCGTGGTTCCAAGTAATGGCTCAGAAAAGTTAGCTATTAGAATTGTAATGGTTGTTAGTGATGTTTGCCATTTTCTTTAAGAATTTCACACTTGTATCAAAAAACAGTATTAAAAAAACTATACAATCATTTAATATATAAAAAGGATAATTCTTTGTAGTTTAAGCCATAAAAGTTGCATCCAAACATAGATTTAAATAACCTCTTCTCCCCACCTTTAATAGTCTTTCAAAATATCGCATGTGCTTTTTATATTGTGAAAAGAAATAAATTAAATAGTCATACTTACATGATTAAAAGTTATTTTCATGTACTTCGGGAATTTGTTCATATTAGTTACACTTCAAGTTAATATTACATGTAATATTAAATGTACTTAATATTAAAAGTGCATTTAAAATACTTGAATGAAAATAAATTTTCATAATCAAATAAATCCCAGCACTGATTCAAGAAAATTATACCACCATGCTCATACTAAGAAGACACTGAATCAAAGCAGAAACACATGCCTTAATCGTTGATAAGTGAAGCCTTCAGTGAGTATCAAAAATAAAAGATAGCAAAAACAGAATAATTACTACACTAATCATAGATGATTGGCAAAGGTAAACATAACAAATTTCTAGTAAGGAGCTGCTTCAAAGAGTGATCTTTATGCGGGAAAACTCCAGCCTGGTGCCTTTGGGATCACTGATTTCCCTTGCTGGGAGTACTTGCGGTGAAACTAATAAAATCACTGAGGTGCCACAAGAAAAATAACATGGGAAGAAGCTGACCACCGAGTTACAGATTCATGGGAAAGACATCAGGAGGTCATTTCCCTCATTTCCTTGCCTTGAGATTAATACTCAAGTCATCAACGCTAAATAAATATTTCCTGAAAATAAAGCATTTCTAGGAAAAAAATAACTTTGAGAATCCTCATGTTGGTATAATTGAATCAAGGACAGATGTGACTAACTTCAGAAGTCTGTTGTTCTTCCTATATTCAGTCCAGCAAACTCTCAGCAAAGCCCCCAGTGTATGAAGAATATGAAAAAGGAGCTCTACTAGTAGAATTTGGGACTGAGAGTCCAGAGTTCTGATCTTTTGGCCTGTGCCTTCTAATGCCCTTTCACCCCACTTCATCTAAGGCAACCCTAGAAATTGTCAAAGAAAAACAGCAGTGCTGGATACTTGCTAAAGGCAATGAGACCTATTGTATTCAGACTATTTCAGCAGGAGGGAGAGACTTCAGTATAAACTAAGCTCAACTCCAAGTAAGACAAAGGAGGCTGATGTTTTTAAAAAGAGAACAAATGGGAAATAAAAAGAAACTATGGAAAAGTAAAAAGAGGGGAATTAAAAAAGGGACTGAGGACTACGTGAAAATGCAAATTATAAAAGGGGGTAAGAGCCTGGCACGGTGGCTCACGCCTGTAGTCCCAGCACTTTGGGAGGCAGAGGCGGGCAGATCACGAGGTCAGGAGATCGAGACCATCCTGGCTAACATGGTGAAACCCCGTTTCTACTAAAAACACACAAAAAGTTGGCCGGGCATGGTGGCGGGCGCCTGTAGTCCCGGCTACTCAGGAGGCTGAGGCAGGAGAATGGCGTGAACCTGGGAGGGGGAGCTTGCAGTGAGCTGAGATCACACCACTGCACTCCAGCCTGGGGGAGAGAGGGAGACTCCTTCTCAAAAAAAAAAAAAAAAAAAAAAAAGAGCGGGAGGTAAGTAGAGAATTACTGAAAATGATTTGACATCATCGGTTACGACAATATACATTATGTGGTTTGGTAGCATTGTATTTTCTTGAGCAAAGACTCAGCACAGGGCCTGGGGTTAACTACTCCAAGTGGCAGCCAGGCTAATGTTTGGTCAAGTCTCTTAGCACAGTGTTTAGGCAAATCTTTTTGGCTTCAGGGAAGTTCACAGTCCCTCCTCTTGTTCAAGAGAAAGAATGAATTTCTTTCTCATAGAATAAATATAGTTGTTGCACTCCAAAGTCCTCAAAAGAAAAAAGTTCAGCCATTGTTTATCACCGTTGTGCAATTCAGGAAGAGTCAAGGTGGTAAATGCAAGAATCGAGGTTTGGCGTATTATCAATGGCGGCACAATTGTCTCATAAGAATAGAGATGCACTTGGTGGGTCATGCCTGTAATCCCAACACTCTGGGAGGCTGAGGAGGGCGGATCACGAGGTCAAGAGATCGAGACCATCTTGGCCAACATGGTGAAACCTTGTCTGTACTAAAAATACAAAAATTAGCTGCGCATGGTGGCACGCGCCTGTAGTCCCAGCTACTCAGGAGGCTGAGGCAGGAGAATCGCTTGAACCGGGAGGGGGAGGTTGCAGTGAGTAGAGATAGTGCCATTGCACTCCAGCCTGGTGACAGAGTGAGACTCTATCTGAAAAAAAAAAAGAAGAAGAATAGAGGTGTACTTAAGAGACAAAGAATATTGCCATTAAGGATGTTTTTAAGAAGCCAAGTCCAAGATCAAAAAAGACAAAGGAGAGCATTACATAATGGTGTAAAGAGTTCAATTCAACAAGAAGATCTAACTATCCTAAATATATGTGCACCCAATACAGGAGCACCCAGATTCATAAAGCAAGTTCTTAGAGACTTACAAAGAGACATAGAGTCTCACACAATAACAGTGGGAGATTTCAACACTCCACTAACAGTTATTAGATAGATCACCAAGGCAGAAAATTAAAAAACATATTCAGGACCTGAACTCAGCATTAGATCAAATGTATCTGATTGACCTCTACAGAACTCTCCACTCAAAAACAACAGAATATACATTCTTCTCATCACCACATGGCACATACTCTAAAATCAGCCACATAATTGGACATAAAACAATGCTTAGCAAATGTAAAAGAACCGAATTCTTACCAAACACACTCTTGGACGACAGTGCAGTAAAAATAAAAGTTGAGACTAAGAAAATCACTCAAAACCATACAATTACATGGAAATTAAACAACATGTTTCTGAATGACTTTTGGGTAAATAATGAAATTAAGGCAGATATCAAGAAGTTCTTTGAAAATAATGTGAACAAAGATACAACATACCAGAATCTCTGGGACACAGGTAAGGCAATGATAAGAGGGAAATTCATAGCACTACCTGCCCACATCAAAAAGTTAGAAAAATCTCAAAAAGTTAGAAAGATCTCAAATTAACAACCTAATATCACCACTAAAAGAATTACAGAAGCAATAACAAATCAACCCCAAAGCTAGCAGAAGACAAGACATAACCAAAATTGGAGCTGAATGGAAGAAAATTAAGACACAAAAATAATTCAAAAGATTGATGAATCCAGGATTATTTTTTTGAAAAAATTAGTAAGATAGGCCAACACCTAGACTAATAAAGAAAAAAAGAGAAAAGGTCCAAATAAACACAACTAAAATTTTGAGACCCGGTGTGGTGGCTCATACCTGTAATCCCAGTGCTTTGGGAGACTGAAGCGGGTAGATCACTTGAGGCCAGGAGTTTGAGAGCAGCCTGACAAACGTGGTGAAACCCTCTCTACTAAAAATACAAAAATTAGCTGGGCATGGTGGCACACAACTGTAGTTCCAACTACTCAGGAGGCCGAGGCACAAGAATTGCTTGAACCCAGGAGGCAGAGCCTGCAGTGTGCCAAGATGGTGCCACTGTACACCAGCCTGGATGACAAAGCAAGACTCTGTCTCAAAAAAAAAAAAAAAGAAATGAAAGGAATGCTAACACTGACTGCACAAAAATAAAAATAATCAAATAACCACTAAAAACTACTCTGAACACCTCTATGCACACAAACTAGAAAACCTTGAAAACATGGATAAATTCCTGGACACATATACCCACCCAAGACTAAGCCAGGAAGAAATTGATTGCCTGAACAGACCAGTAACAAGCTCCAAAATTGAACCAGTAACAAATAGCCTACCAACCAAAAAAAGCTCAGGACCTGATGGATTCATAGCTGAATTCTACCAGATGTACAAAGAACTGGTACCATTCCTAGGGAAAGTACCCCCCCAAAAATTGAGAAGGAGTGACTCCTCTTTAGCACATTCTATGAGGCCACCATCATCCTGATACTAAAACCTGGCAGAGCCACAATGACCAAAAAGAAAACTTCAGGCCAATATCCTTGATGAACATCATGCAAAAATCCTCAGCAAAATACTTGCAAACCAAATCCAGCAGCACATCAAAAAGCTAATCCACCATGATCAAATAGTCTTCATTCCTGGGATGCAAGGTTGGTTCTACATATGCAAATCAATAAATGTGATTCATCACATAAACAGAACTAAAGACAAAAATCACATGATTATCTCAATCAATGCAGAAAAAAAGCTCTAGATAAAATTTAACACCCTTTCATGTTAAAAACTCTCAATAAAGTAGGTGTTGAAGGAATATACCTCAAAATAATAAGAGACATCTATGACACATCCACAGCCAATATCACTTTGAACGGGCAAAAGCCGGAAGCTTTTTGCTCTTGAAAACTGGCACAAAACAAGGCTGCCCTCTCTCACCACTCCTATTCAAAATAGTTGTGAAAGTCCTAGCCAGAGCAATCATGAAAGAGAAAGAAGTAAAGAGCATCTAGATAGGAAAAGAAGTCAAACTATCTCTGTTTGCAGATGACATGATGTTATATCCAGAAGCCTCATTCCTTCAGCCCAAAAGCTCCTTTAGCTGATAAACAACTTTAGCAAAGTCTCAGGATACAAAATCAATGTACAAAAATCACTAGAATTCCTATACACCGACAGCAGCCAAAACAAGAGCCAAATCAGAAAAGCATTCCCACTCACAATAGCCACAAAAGGGATAAAATACCTAGGAATACAGCTAACCAGGGAGGTGTAGAATTCTCTACAATGAGAATTACAAAACACTGCTCAAAGACATCAGAGATGACACAAACAAATGAAAAAATATCTCAGGCTCATGGATAGGAAGAATCAACATAATTAAAATGGTCATAATGCCCAAAGCAATTTACAGATTCAATACTATTCATATCAAACTACCAATGACATTCTTCACAAAACTAGGAAAACTATATTAAAATTAATATAGAACCAAAAAACTAAGGCCTGAATAGCCAAGACAATCCTAAGTAAAGAGGAGAAAAGCTGGAGGCATTATGTTACTCAACTTCAAACTATATTACAGGGTTACAGTAACAAAAACAACATGGTACTGGTACAAAAACAGGCAAATAAACCAACAGAACAGAATCAAGAGCCCAGAAATAAGGTTGCACACCTATGACCACCTGATCTTCAACAAAGCTGACAAAAGCAAGCAATGGGGAAACAATTCCCTATTTGATAAATGGTGCTGGGATAACTGGCTAGCCATATGCAGAAAACTGAAGCATCCACTCTTCCTTACACCACCCTTCCTTACACCAGATACAGAAATCAACTCAAAAGGATTAAAGACATAGTGTAAAACCCAAAACTATGAAAACCCATGAAGACAAACTAGGCAATATCATCCTGGACATAGGAATAGGCAAAGATCTCATGACAAAGATGCTAAAAGCAATTGCAACGAAAGCAAACAATGACAAGGGGGATCCAATTTACTTAAGAGCTTCTGCACAACAAAAGAAAACTATGGACAGAGTTAACAGACAACCTACAGACTGGGAGAAAATATTTGCAAACTATGCATCCGACAAAGGTGTGATATTCAGCATTTATAAGGAACATAAACAAATTTCCCAGAGAAAAACAAACAACCCCATTAACAAGTGAGCAAAGAACATGAACAGAAACTTTTCAAAGGAAGACACACATGCATCCAACAAGCATATGAAAAAAACTTCAATATCTATCACTAATCATTAGAGAAATGCACATCAAAACCATAGTGACATACTGTCTCATACCAGTCAGAAAGGCTATTGTTAAAAAGTCAAAAAATAGCAGATGCTGGTGAGAATGCAGAGAAAAAGGAACACTTAGACACATTGGTGGGATGTAAATTAGTTTAACCATTGTGGAAAGCAATATGGTGATTCCTCAAAGAGCTAAAAGCAGAACTGCTATTTAACTCAGTAATCCCAGTACTGGGTATATACCCAGAGGAATATAAACCAGTCTACCATAAAGACACTTGCACATGTAAATGTTCATCGCAGCAATATTCACAATAGCAAAGACATGGAATCAGCCTAAATGCCCATCAATGACAGATTGGATAAAGAAAATGTGGTACATATACACCATGGAGTACCATGCAGCTGTAAAAAAGAATGAGATTATGTCGTTTGCAGGAACATGGCTAGAGCTGGAGGCTATTATCCTCAGCAACTAACGCAGGAACAGAAAACCAAATACTGCATGTTCTTACTTGTAAGTGAAGGCTAAATGATGAGAACTTATTAACACAAAGAGGGAAACAGCAGACACTGGGGTCTGCTTGAGCATGCAGTGTGGGAGGTGGGAGAGGAGTGGAAACAGTAACTGTTGGGTACTGGGCTTAATTCCTGGGTGATTAAATAACCTGTACAACAAGACCCCATGACATGAGTTTACCTTTGTAACAAATCTTCACATGTACCCCTGACCTTACAATAAAAGTTAAAAGAAAAAAAAAAAAGCCAAGTCCCTTAAAAAGTCTCCTAAGCCATTTGGCTGGGGAAACCATTTTCTCCTTAGAGACTAAGCCTGTCTGGAGGGGCGTGAGCTATGTTGGCTGCTTCTCAGGCACGTGCTGCCACGACTTCTTGATTCATTTCTCTTTATCATTCATGAATGAAAAGCATTGGGAACTCACCAGTGCACAAGCACCTTCTTGAAAACTCAGTATGTAGTCTAAGGCGAGCTAGTTTTGTAAAGTCATTTTAGAAGCTCCAATACCTCATGGATTTATGAAACAAAAGCTTATATTAAGTTTGAGATGAACTCTACTAATTATTTTTTAAATTATTATTTCAATAGCTTAAGGGGTACAAATAGTTTTTGGTTATATGAATAAATTGTATAGTGGAGAAGTCTGGGCTTTTACTGTATCTGTCACCAAATAATTTACAGTGTACCCAAGAGGTGATTTTTTTTTATCCCTCTCCCTTCCTCTCTGAGCCTCCAATGTCCATTATGCCCCTCTGTATACCTTGTGTACCCATAGCTTAGCTCCCACTTATATGTAAGAACATGCAGTATTTGGTTTTTCCATTCCTGAGTTACTTCACTTATGGTAATGGCCTCCAGTTCCAAGTTGCTGCAAAAGACATTTGTGTGCGTGTGTGGCTAAGTAGTATTCCTTTTTGTTGTTGTTGTTGAGATGGAGTCTCGCTCTGTTGCCCAGCCTGGAGTGCAGTGGTGTGATCTCAGCTCACTGCGACCTCTACCTCCCGGGTTCAAGCAATTCTCTGCCTCAGCCTCCCGAGGAGCTGGGATTACATGTGCCCGCCACCATGCCCAGCTAATTTTTGTATTTTCAGTAGAGATGGGGTTTCACCATCTTGGCCAGGCTGGTCTTGAACTCCTGACCTCATGATCCACCTGCCTCGGCCTCCCCAACTGCTGGGATTACAGGCGTGAGCCACCTGGCTGGGCCTGTAGTATTCCATTTTTTATATGTACCACATTTTCCTTATCCACTCCTCCGTTGATTGGCACTCAGCTTGATTCCGTATCTCTGCTATCGTGAATTGTGCTGTGATAAACATCCATGTGCAAGTGTTCTTTATATATAATGACTTCTTTTCCTTGGGTAGATACCAGTAGTGGGATTGCTGATTGAATAGTAGATCTACATTTAGTTCCTTGAGAAATCTCCACATCGTTTTTCACAGAGGTTGTACTAATTTTCATTCCCACCAACAGTGTATGAGCATTCTCTTTCACCACATCTGTGCCAACATCTGTTTTTGTTTGTTTGTTTGTTTGTGTTTTAACCTTTTGGCTAGGGTAAGATAATTCTGACTAGATGGTATCTCACTGTGATTTTAATTTGAATTTCCATGATGATTAGTGATGTTGAGCATTTGTTCATATATTTGTTGGCCGTTTCCATATCTTCTTTTGAGAAATATCTGTTCATGTCATTTGCCCACTTTTTAGTAGGATTATGTGTTTTTTTTCTTGCTAATTTGTTGGAGTTCCTTTTAGATTATGGATACTAGTCCTTCGTCAGATGTATCTTACAGCATAGGAGTTGGCTGACCTGGTGACAAAGGGTAGAATATCAAGAACAGAGCACCCTGTAAGTTTGGCCTGAGCAAGTGGCTCTCCCCGGACCTGTTTAAGGCTGTTTGTCATCCAGCCATTATCCATTCACAAGTTTCAGGCTCAGCAATTGTAGGAGCACTCATGTTTCTAATTTTTCCATTGGGAAATTTTTCATACATTTCCATTTGAGGGACAGCATAAGCCACATCGCAGCAGCCAGCCCAATGGGCTGGAAGTACTTTGTATGGTTTTATGACCACATACTAAATAATGTCCCTTGAGGGCATACTAGTGTTGGTTATTGCCTCTAGTGGTTGTAACAGAGGCTAGAGGAGCTAACCTGGAATAGACTCCAAAGAGACAGTTACAAACATCATCTTCTAAATGGCTGGGTACTTTGGTACCATTTAGCCAGCAATTTTTTGCCCAGTCTTTCAGTTCACCAAAATATTGATCCGGGGTAAAATAATTTCCTATGATACTGGTATTGCGTGGGTATTGCAGACAATGCTGTCCTTAATGGGAGTTTGGCTCTTACAAAGAATGTCTGTTTCTTGAAAATAGGTTTCATCTTTTCACAAGGACACAGAGCATTTACTGTGTTCCACAGGGTGACTATATTTATTAGACTGATTTCTAGTAAAACACCACGTTTCTTAGGTTAAAGAGGCCACATCATACTCCCAGTCACAAGGGCTTTTAAGAAATAACCCAATATCTTTCTAAAAGGGAGACCTAAATGGCTGTATATTTGTAATGTTTTCTGCCAAGGCCATCTAAAGCATAAGGGAGACAATTATTAAGGGAATACGAGTTTTAGGATAGAGTGGGAATGGGCATAGACCCGGCAATTACTTTGGTTAATTTCATTGGCTACTTTGTCAGCTAAGAGACCGAGGGAATTACGGTCATGAGAGGAAAGCACGGGATAGGGTAAGATAAGGAGGAAACAGAGGGGAATCATGACAGGGCTGCTGAGGCTGGAGATGGAGTATATATGTTGTAAGTAGGACACATCACTAGGATAAAGATGGGACGTTGTAGAGGACACAGGAGTAGTAGCAGAATGCGTAGACCCAAAATTGAAGTCAGAGACAAAGAAGGGGAATCGGAGTGAATCTTGTTTCAGGATCTTTGGCAGAAGCGGACTGCTTCATCATATCATTTACTTGCTCCGTAGTTCTTAGGATGGATGTCTGTCTCCAGCTCTTGGCTACTTTTAGAGGTTCTTTTCTTTTCTTTCCTTTCCTTTTCTTTTTTTTTTTTTTTTTTTTTTTGAGACCGAGTCTTGCTCTGTCACCCAGGCTGAAGTGCAGTGGTGCAATCTCTGCTCGCTGCAAAGTTTGGAGGTTCTTTTTTTTTTTTTTCTTTTCTTTTTGAGATTGAGTCTTGCTCTGTTCCCAAGGCTGGAGTGCAGTGGCTCAATCTCGGCTCACTGCAAGCTCTGCCTCCCGGGTTCACGCCATTCTCCTGCCTCAGCCTCCCGAGTAGCTGGGACTACAGGAGCCCGCCAATTAGCGCCCGGCTAATTTTTTTGTATTTTTAGTAGAGACGGGGTTTCACCTGATGGTCTCTATCTGCTGACCTCGTGATCCGCCCGCCTCGGCCTCCGAAAGTGCTGGGATTACAGGCGTGAGCCACCGCGCCTGGCCTGGAGGTTGTTCATAGAGTCTCAGCGTGAGTCTCTGGTTAGAGTGCCTTCCAATTGAAATAGATTTTGTATTTTTTCAACTAAAAGACATGCACCCAAGTTCAAACACTCTGTAATTTGTTAGCAGTGTTAGCAATGAGTGAAACAATAAAAGGTCCCCTCCCTCTGGGTTCAAGGTTAGTTTTCTGATGTTGGTGTTTTTTCAAAATGCCAGATCACTTACTTATGAAGCAAGTAAGGACTGATCAGGGAGTTTAAAGATACAAGAAGCCTCAATTGTGGAGTATAGTGGGGCTGTGTGTATTTAATTAATCCCTGACAATATCTGAGGTTGTTGAACTGAGTTAGTTTGGAATCTTCGGCTAGTTTGCATTAGTAGGTTATTCTCATGGGTATCCCGTAATGATTCAAAGAGGATCGTTTGTGTGAAGGTAGGGCCAAGGATCTGAGAGTCAGTGTGATGGGTAATATCTGTGGCCATGGCAAGTTCTTTCTTCAGACAGTTTAGCCAGTTCAGCTTGAGGATGCTGTTGGCTCTTTGTATAGAACTTTATCACTGAGGATGGTAAGTCCAGTGGAATATTTGGCTGGTGTGTGTAACCTTTCCTATTTCCTGAATAATTTTGCCAGTGAAATGTGATCCTCTGTCACTAGAGGCAGTAGAGGGGATAACCCATGTGGGGAAGATTCACTCTTAATAAACCTTGGCAACCGATGTCCTTGAGGAGTTTCAACAGGGAAAGCCTCCCATTCTATTTTCCAGTGAAGGAAGCCTATTTTCCAGTGAAGGAAGGATGTAGAGGGAGCCACTTCCCTTTTTTGCCCCACCTTTATGCTTTTTGGAGGATTATGTTGTTGGTAGATGCAGCAAATGGCAACAGCTTGGTCCAAATAAAATCTAAAGAGTCCAAGCCATATTGTTTTGTTTAATATATACTACATGTTATCCTTTCTGTGGTAAATCTGGATGAGCAAATTGTACACAATGACTTGGGAGACAGACTTAGGAGTTATCAAATGGCCATCTGGGTATTTCTGAAGTCCACTTAAGTGGGTCAAACATTCACCTTTTTCTCATCCAATTCTTTCTGACTCTGAAATTGTTATCTGGGCTGTGTGAATTTTACATTTCCTTTAGAGGCATTGTAAAGACATTGCTTCTGTCAATTTATTTAAAGAGGGTAAATAATCCTAGCAGGACTGTGGGTATTTGAAATGAAGCCCAGGTATCTAGTCACAAGGTTTGGAGACTTCCTGGATTTCTTAGGCGGCCAAGGAAGAGGATGCTAGCTTAGCACCTTTATCAGCCAATTTATTTCCCTGAGCCTCATCTGAGTATTTTATACTATATCCCTCAGCTTTAACTGTAACAACTAGCTGGGGCAATAGCAATGACTCTAGAAGTTCTGCTATTTGGGGTTTACTTTTGACTGGGGACAAGTTGCTGTCATGAATCCTCTCTGTTTTCAAAACATACCAAAATCATGCACTACACCAAAGACCCAGTGTCTGTCACTGTAGGTGCTAATCTTAATTCCCTCTGCCTTATATAAGCCTGAATGAGAACAGTTAATTTAGCCACTTTGGCTGATTTAACGTGTGGCAAAGCTTGGCATTCAAGAGTTTTGTGTAGATGAGTGATGGCATATCCAGGCTGGAAGGTCCCAACCTCCTTCCAGAAGTAGGAGCGATTGACATAGAGCATCAGGTCGACTTAGGAGAGAAGGGTTTCTGACATATCTAACCTAAATGAGACAGTGATCTGGTTTCAGTAGCACCATTGTGTGTGTGTGCTGAGGGGTTCCCTTAGTGGACAAAATGTACAGGGTAGCAAGGGATTTTTGGCAGCAAAGGATTGTGATTGGGTGGGGAGGCATAGTAATATTTCATGAGAAGTAAGTCGAGAAGCAAACGAGTGCTGTGTGTTTTCATTAAGTAATAGGGTCAACACAGCATGGGAACATACACATCAAGTGGGCGGCCTAACACTAAATCAGAAGTAGCCTGGATGAGTTGGAAGTCATGGCCACTGTTTGTAGGCCAGGAGGATATGCTTCAGCACTGGCTGGTTTTGTGGGAAAACAGAGAGAAAGACATGGCTGAGTCTCATGGTGCTCAGAGAAGGCCACAGCCTTGGGGTGCCGTGGTGACCACAAACACTTCCCCCATCCCATACCAATCTTTAAGAGCCTTTTCCTTCTTAAAGACCTGTCACTTAGCAAAGAGCTTTCAATGAACCCTCCCCTCTGGGCCACTTGTTGGATTGCAGCCAATCAGTGATGGAGGGCTGGACACAACTGTGGGATGCTGTGATTTGGTTTAGCCCTTGGGTCTAGAGTGCTCTGGGGTCCACTGTACTTCTGGGATAAAACGCCAAGGCCACGACTCTCTTGCTCATTTACAAACAAAAAATTGAGGGCTAGCTAAACAAGGACAGAGTGGAAGCAGCTTTCTGTAAGACACACCCACCAGTGTGCCCTGTCAGTTTACCATTGCCATGGCAACACTCAGGCATTACCACCCCTTTCAGCAGCAATGACCTGATGACCCAAAAGTTACCACCCTTTTCCTAGCAATTTCTGCACAAACCACCCCTGAATCTACATGTAATTAAAAGTAGGTATACATATGACAGCAAAACTGGGCTCAGCTGCTACTCTCGGCACCCTGCCTATGGGGCAACCCTGGGAGCAGTCACTGAGCTGTGACCCTGCAGGAGCTGTAACAGTGCTGCTTTGATAAAGGTGTTTTCTTCCACCTTACCACTGGCTCGCCCTTGAATCCTTTCCTGGGTGAAGCCAAGAACCCTTGCAGGCTAAGCACCACTTTGGGGTTCGCCTACCTTGCATCAGCATCAGGTTTTTTTTTTAAACTTGTAAAATAGTTTTTGTGACTCTGTCATGTATTTTGCAGTCATGAACTAATATTTTTTCCCTCAATTGTCAGTTGCAGTTTCCTCAAAGATCATTATAAATACTCCTTAACCTACAAAGTTTGGCAGTCACAGCCTACTCTTTGAGGAACAGCCTGACTCACCATCAAGTGGCTCCTCAGGTGGTTTTACTTCCCATGTTTCCCATGTGAGGTACTAAGCCTCAGTGATTCCTGGCAAAACTTGTATTCTCTGTTAGTATTGCGCTAACTTTGGAGTGAGTTTCTTTTGGTGAGTAATAATTTTAGTCAATGATACTACTGATTATTTTATCTTTTTTTAGGCTTATGATGAATACCTGATTTATGATTAGTATGTTTTTCACTTTTACACATTTCAAGGAAGGAAACAAGAACAGACAGAAACACAACATACTTCATGAAACCACATTTTAGCATCCTGGCCGAGTATTCATCACTCAGCAAGATAGAGAGACATAAACTATTTCTAGCAAGAATACTTCATAAATGATGAATAGAAGAAAAATAGAAGTCCTAAAAATCTTGCAGAACTGTCTTAATTTACTAATATATTTACACTGTATCCTAAGTCACTCTCTAGCTTCTTGCTCTAAGCATATGAAATGTAAGAGCTAATGGGAACCCCAGTGCCTGTATAAATAACAAGAACCAGCATGTCTTTATTTATGGCAGGGAATACTCTACAACCTGGGACAGATGCCACTCTGCTTCAGTTTGGGGAAGCTCCTCACTTTACCATCCTGACGTTGAATAAATGATTCAAAGGCAACCTGATGCAACCTGAGCCACTGGATGGCTTCTGTAAATAAAGTTATCTCACCTGGCATTCATTACAGAGAAAACAAGAAATAAGGCACTACATGTCATATTTGTCTAGATCCTATACATATTTAGGTTCACATTAAAATGAAGAGAAAACAACATAGGCTGAGAATCAGAAAACCTGAACTCTGTCCCAGCTCAGCTACTGACCAAAGAGAATTAATGAATCGCTTTAAATGTCAGTTTCTTCATTAAGCATCGTAGAGAATGTCAAAACCAAGTTTACAAATACTGTCATTCCAAAACCACACAACTCAAATATAAATAATCTTTATAAGGTAACAAAAATGTACATAATACTTTACATAAACATTTTTAGAATAACTTTATTATAACTCGATAAGCAAAATAATCCAAACCTTTATACATTTCTACAAGGATAGTCATGTATGTCAATTTTTGGGTTTCCTCTCGTGCCTATTTTGTCTCCTGAGCCAGCCCCTTTCCAGCTGACACATGTGCTCCGTGTTCTCCCACAATAGCCTGATCTGGCCTGAGTCCACGCCCCTGTGAGCCTCCTTTCTTTGCTTACAACAGCAGCCTGCCTGATGTCAGTTATGGACTATTCTTTTTTTCAGCCTCGTTTCAGGGTCCCCTGCCTCTTAGAGCTGCTGCTGTAGCTTAGCTAGAGACCCGCTGCTGTTGCATCATGGAAAAGTGCCACATATGTGCACATGTGAAAGAATACGCAGACCTTCATGTTGTGTTTTAGTTTTAGAAAAAGTCAGAAGTAGCTTCACTTGATTTCAGCTTGTAAAGACATAGGAGGGAGGCAACTGGGAATCACCGTTGCAAAAAGCAAACATCAAAAATCACATTAAAATGCTGAAGTGTTGTGGAGCACAAACCTAGCTTTATTGGATCAAGCATTTGTGAGAGTTCTTCTACTTGCTTTGTTATGCTTTCTATCAGACAGGGCTCATTCTCTGTCTTTTTTTTTAACATATTCATTTTTTTCCTTTGGTCTGTTTAGATTATTATCACATCTTATGTTTTAAAACTAGCAAAATATTATGTGTAAGTCATGAAGACAGTGTAAGAAATAATAAAATGAACACTGATGTACACATTACCTGCCTAAGAATAAAAAACTACCCGTATTTTTAGAGTCCTTAACACTGTCCTGTTAATGAGTCCCATTTCTTATCTTTATAATTTTGCCAAAATAAATGCATTAGTAAAGGACATTGAGCATTATTGTTTCACATATTTTTCAGTTTAAACAAATGGAATCACACTGAATATATTTTTCTGAAATTGCTTTTTGGTTCAATATTTAATTTGTAAAATTCATTCTTATGATATGTTTGTCTGTACTTTCTGTGCATTGATTTAGAGTATTCCATCACAGGATAATACTATAATGAGCATTCCATTTTATTAGATTGGGGTTATCCATTTTTTTCTATTACAAAACTAGATGTCCTTTTCTTGTATGAGTCTCCTGGACATAAAAGGTAGATTTTCTCTAAGGTAAAAACCCAACATTCAAATAATTGTGTCAAAAGATTTGTATACTGTTGGTTTTACTACGTTAAAATGAACTGTTTTCCAATTTATGCTCCCATGAGAAGTTAAAGGTTCTGGTAGATCTATATTCTCAACAATACTTAATAGTATCAAACGTTTTAACGTTAGTCAACTTGGTTTCTCATTTGAATTGTAATCTGCATTTTTTAGAAGTACTGAATCAAGGTAAGAATCAAGTAATGAAAAACTATTATTTTAGTAAATAAAAATGCTGTAAAGACAATAAAGCAAATGAATGTAATCAAAAGTGGAGACGGGCTACTTCATTCTGATAGTCAAAGATGGCCTTGCTGGTCATCTGAGTTGAGAGGTGGCTAGTAAGACGAGAAGAGATGTTAAGTAGCTGTGGAAGGGGCCTGCTGGCACAGGGCATGCTCCAAAGCCCTGAAAAGAGGCAAACATTCTTTCCCTCTAAATACCTGAACTAAGTAAAAACAGTCCTGGCTTTGCACATTTGAATATGCACAGGTTTAATTAACATAGTTTAGTTAAATAGCACTAGTCTCCCAACAACCTGGTTACAATTTCGGTTACCACCATATGCTAACTGTGAGCAACTGCATAAAATCCAAACTTCATTCCCAGCTCTTAATTCCACAAATGCCTGTGTGAGTAAATAACAGACAAGCATCATGATCAGGGACTGTATTAATCTTGTGGGGATGCTGCAACAAAGTACAAAAAACCGGGTTGCTTAAAACAACAGAAATGTATTGACTCGTAGTTGTGGAGGCTAGAAGTCAAAAAGCAATGTGTTGGTAGGTTCATGCTCTCTGCTGGCTCTAGGGGAGAATCCTTCTTCCCCTCTCCTTCCTGTTTGGGTTTGCCAGCCATCCTTGGTGTTGTTTGACCTACAGATATGTCACTGCATTTTCTCAGTGTGTCTTCACATCGTCTTTTGTGTGTGTGTGTCTGGAGCTGTATCCAAATTCTCCTTCACTATAAGACACCAGTTAGTCTATTGGATTAGGACCCACCCTAATGACCTCATTTTAACTTGAGAACCTCTGTAAATGTGCTATTTCCAAATAAGCTGATATTATTTGGAGATATTGGGGATTAGGATTTCAAACATATCTTTTTTGGGGAACACAATTCACTTCCTTCAAAGCCTGCCAGTGACTGATCAATGTGCATCAGCTAGTTCGCACACAGACAGCAAAGTCTGCAATCGTGTTGATTCCTTGTCTCCCAGTGAGAAACCCATGTGACATTTATAAATATGAATAATCAGAAGAAAAAACTTGTCAACAACCATTGATGTGCAGCAAAGAAATAAAAAATGTGATAACCCTGGAAGTGGATTCAAATACAATGTAAATGGAATCATAGAATTGGCTCACCACAGGAAACGCGGCAAGAGGAACTCGGCGCAACGCAGTGTTCTGACATAAATGAGGAACGCAGCTGTGATTAAAAGGATGAAGAAGCCCCAGAGGAAGTGATGCCGGCAAAGACAGCAACAAACTTCATATTAAAGGAACTCTTGTAGATATTGCATGACGTTGACAATGTTAGATGCTGTTCCAAAAACAGCACGACAGTTCACCAAGGCATAGAAACACTGCTGGCTCCTTATCATAAGCTATACGACAAGAGGGAGGCAAGCACTTTTCAAACTGGGCTTGATACACGTCTATAAATAAATAAAGCACTTTAATTGGCTGTTGTTTAATGTTTTAAATTACAGTGTATAAACTAAGTACTGGCCAGGCGTGATGGCTCACTCCTGTAATCCCAGCACTTTGCAAGGCCAAGGTGGACAGATCATGAGGTCAGGAGATCAAGACGATCCTGGGTAACACGGTGAAACCCCACCTTTACTAAAAATACAAAAAATCAGCCAGGCGTAGTGTCACGTGCCTATAGTCCCAGCCACTTGGGACGCTGAGGCAGGAGAATAGCTTGAACCCAGGAGGTGGAGGTTGCAGTGAGCTGAGATCACGCCACTGCATTCCAGCCTGGGCGACAGAGCAAGATTCCATCTCAAAAAAAAAAAAGTACTAACTTCACTATGTTTCATTTCCTTATACATTTATAACCAACAGTAAGAGATTTTTAATGTTTTGGCCAAAATTTTTAAATGACACAGAACAGTCGATGTTTCACATGGATTGTTTAGGTCACTTTACAGATCTTCAGCTTGCATAGTGATTTGTATGGCCCTGCACTGCTGTGCAAAGAGAGGACTGTTTGTGTTCTTAACCAGTAAGAAGGAGGGCAAGAAAGAGGTTCTCAGCCAGATATTGCATATGTAATAAAATGATGGGAGAGGGAATAACACTTTAGATATGAAATGTACCATGTGGGGAAGCTATTTGAACAACAACAAAATAGCTTAATTTAACCCGATGGAGTACACTCAGCCACCTTCTAGATGTCCCTGCTTATTCTTCAAATCTTCTCTTTTGTGGCCCCAAAGAATGATTCACTCTCTGGAGTGAAAAATAACCGTTGCTTTCTTTGCCTGGAACTTTAAACTGACTTGTGCTGTATCATCCAAACCTACTCAATCCTCTCTTCTCCATTAATCAGTGAGGTCCAAAGGAGCCAAAGACAAATCTCTCCTGTTTTTCTTAGAAATGTAAAGATGTTGCATCTGTAACCACAGGCTGCTTTTAATCCTAAAAGTCAGCGTGATAATGAAATCCAGTGATTAATTTCTGTCTTCTAATCAATAAGTAGACATATCAATTTATAGTATGTTAGAAAGCCTCAACTTCACTGAAACAAAAAGCAAGAGGCTCTGCAAATGTTGGAGTGTGCTAAAGGAAAAGCATGGACTGATGTTTGGGGAAAGGTTGGTCAATGTGATGAGGCCATCTGTGTTTGCTAATAGTGCTTATCAAAATTAGGTTCCTACGCAGAGACAGAGACCAGGAGACAATCCTGTATCCTTCTTGATCCTTATAGTCCAAAGGGATGGCTCCCAAGTCTTTCAGAAAGACATTTCCATGTTGTAGGAGATTTAAAGGGGCAGAGAAAGGGTTTATAACTGCAGGTTATCTGTCTTTTTTTTTTTTTTTTTCCAGACAGAATCTCACTCTGAGCACAATCTCGGCTCACTGCAACCTCCGCCTCCCAGGTTCAAGAGATTCTCCTGCCTCAGCTTGCTGAGTAGCTGGGATTGCGTGTGTGTGCCATGACGCCCAGCTAATTTTTCTCTTTTTAGTAGAGACAGGGTTTCACCATGTTGGCCAAAATGTTCTCGATCTCTTGACCTCGTGATCTGCCCTCCTCGGCCTCCAAAAGTGCTGGGATAACAGGTGTGAGCCACCACGCCTGGCCATTGCAGGTTTTCTAAAGTTAAACCTCTTAGAAATGGGAGGTCAGGGACCTATAGTCAAGTTTTGGGTGGGACAAACAGTAAATTCTTTTGGCAGAATTGAATGTTCCCAGGCAGGTGCTTTAGAGGGGTATGGGGCATCGTAGGGACGTGGCTCGGAGCTGATAGACACTGTGTTGGAATTTGGCCAAGTCTCTTAGTGTATGTATGAGGAGGAGGGATGTGCAGAAGAAGTTGTCTGTGCCAAGAATTTATGGTTTTCACAGGTTAAGACAGTGGTGCCTGGGATCATCTGCAAGGCATGAGTCAAATGTTGACACAATGATTGTTTGCAGACTCATCTGAGGGCTTAGGCAGATCTGGACCTGTTGATACTGAAGTTTCTGAAGGTAGAGGAAGAAAACATAATGTCTCAATAATATCTGAAGTAGGGGTAGGAAAACAGAGATTTAAGGAGGTGAGATCCCTTAAGGCCTCAGAAAGAAGCTTCACTTCTTGCGCCTCCCTTCAGAGTAAATGGGTCATTAAATTAGTTTTTGTAACCAACCTGGGAATGATGGTGAAGAAGGGAATAATGAGAGGAAAAACTTTAAATAAGAATGCCTGAGAGATAATACTAGGTCAGTGGGAGAGAAAGAAATTTCCAAGAAGTTGTCATGGGAAAGGGCTCACGAATAATAAATAAAAAATTAGTTATTAATAATATAAATTAATATATGAAAAATAAATAAGACATCTGCCAACAGCCACACTTACAGCACTAGATGGATTTTAACTGAATTAAAACTTGAGTTTTTAATGAATTTTCTACAATCCAAAATTTATTTGTTTAATTTTTGTAACAAAACACCATTTCTTTACTTTTTGCAAAAGTAAAAGTAAAGTGCTATTTGTACTTTTTAAATAAAAACTAATTTTAAAGAAAAAAATAATTAGCTGGACGTGGTGGCAGGAGCCTGTAATCCCAGCTACTGGGGAGGCTGAGGCAGGAGAATTGCGGAGGTTGCAGTGAGCCCAGATGGCCCCACTTCATCCAGCCTGGGTGACAGAGTGAGACTCTGTCTCAAGCTTCTTCAGTACTCACATGTAAACTTCTACTTTCCCCTTCAGATTACAGCAACCATCATGCCAAAGCTATACACTCTCAGGGAATCCCTGTGGATTTCACTGATGACCACTTGACCAACTATTATAAAAATCAAGGCCAGGGGTTCTCAAACTCTCAACATTTGTGTGCTCATCTCCCCTTCACCCAGAGACTCCCCAGGGCTGCTGGGCCACGCTTTGTTTGGTTTGACTGGAACATAGCTCAAAAGGGATGGAAATTTCCAAGAGGTGTTAAGAGACACATAAATATTTCAAAGATTAAAATGAAAGAAATAAAGAAATGGGCATTTGTGAGCTTTGGTCATGAGAATGCAGGCCTCGCAGTACTTAGCTACTTCCAAACCCCTGTCCAAAGAGAGGACCAAACGCTAGTGAGGCTTCCGGCAGCACAAGGGTGTCCCGCGGATGACCCCAGCCCTCTTAAAATGACTGCCTGAAAAAGCTCACTTGCAAAGAAAATTTACTGTTTGTTTCAGGCAAAACCTGGTGATGGGCAGGTAGAGCCCCGAATCCCCTCTTAGAACCTTAGAAAGCTTGCAATTATAAATTTTTCTCCACCTTTGAAGTGTAAATCTACATTCCAGAATTGTCTCCTCAAAGACCTGAGAGTTCTCTCTTTGAAATGCAAACATTCAGGAAGCTAACTCTTGCTCTTGTTGCCAGTTCCTGAGGGAGGGGAAAGGCCTAGCTTTGGCGAGCACCTTGCTCCAGCTTGCACCTCTGACTCTTTTATTGCCATGAAAATCAACATGTAGACTTTTTTCAAACCCAATGACAGCCCATTACAATGGAGGCCATAGCAATGGAGGTCTCTACATGCAAAAAAAATGGTGGGACAGTTTCCTGATAACAGGTCAACTTTATTCCAAGGATAAGCATGTCATGAAATTATTGGATGGCAGATTATGCTTATCTATGGTCTTCCTTTTTCTCCTTGGTCTCATCCCAATAACTTACAGATCCTTTAAAGGCAAAGGCCAAATATTCAGCTAAGTTAGGCATACTTTAGATGCCAATATCAATTTTAGCTATATGGGAGATCCTACTTAAGATATTGAGGACGATCATGTGTGTACAGGGCAAAAAAGATGGGACAAAGAGATAAGAAGGGGATGGGAAATCACACCCTCCCTCCGCACCACAGACCATGACCTGGGGCAGGTCCTGTAACACCAAGCCCACCCAGGCCCCATCTAACAGTATGCCGCATTCTACATGACCTCAGAGTTCTTTCGGAATTCCAGCTGAAAAGCTGAAAAGCAATACTATATAGTTGTGGTTTCCAGCTGGCCCATGTTAGTATGTATGGCTTTTCTTCCTCGCCATGAAAGCACTATGGGAGAACGAAGCCCGATGCTGGGCATGCTTTGCCAGGTGGGTGCTGCTGAATCACAGACCTCAGCAACTGTGTTCCGCCTCCACAGAGGCCGGAGATGTTTGTTTCCCCAGTGTGTTCGTATATTTCAGCCAGTTTCATGCACTTTGCCCTCTCAGTTTGCTTCACTTTCTGGCTCAGTGAACCTGACCTGCAAGTCTCCCTGCAGTTTCCCTCAGCAAGTGCTCACTGGGCAGCCCCAACATGTGAGAAACGGCTGTAGGGTGCACAGAGGTGAACTAAATTACTAAAAACTATTACTTTACTAAAATGCTTCCTGGATTCCAAAACTCACCAACTGGGAGAAAGGTCAGACACACACGGAGACAACTCATCTACACAAATGATCATCAGTGATTTAAAGAAGGTACAGCAGAGCGAGACTCCGTCTCAAAAAAAAAAGAAAAAGAACGTACAGGAGATCATGGAATAAGAACAAGAAGAGATTACTTTCCAGGGCTCTCAGAAAGTTTCTAAAAAGAGGTGCCATTGACCCTGACCTTAGCATTGTGATGGAGACATTACAGAGCTGGTAGGAAGGAGAAGAAGAAGGAACGGCTGGAACACACTTGGGGTGAAATGAGCGGCATTTCAGTGTGGGAGCTGCAGACTCAGTTTTGGTGGAAGAGTTAAGAGCCAGGATCTTGTCAGGAATAATTCTGTGTCCAAGTGCAGAATCGTGGTTTGCTCCACTACTGCCAGTAACTCCATTTCTCAATCATGATGGTGATGCTTTTTTTTTTTTTTGGCTCCCAATCCCGGAGAGTGGCCATACTGAAGTCATATTACAACAATTAACTTTTCAACTATTAGATGATTAATTTTTACCAAGTAGCAAGAACAGCTGTTTGGCACGTAGCAGTGTGGCATGAGTATCTTGTAAATGAATTAAACAAAATATCTCTCCAACACACACACAGTCATTCTTGCTGCATGTCAGCCTCCACTTCTCCCTCCATTATTTGATGCTGTGAAGCTGAGGCAGCCAGCTTGAGCGAAAGCTTTCAGATCTCACTCCAACAAAGAGCTTTGATTGATTCATTTAGTATAAGGTGTTTTATCTGGCTAGAGAAATCCAAGCTGAGTTTTATTAATTACTAAGAAAAGTATGCAATAGATTAATCTTTGATCAAAACTATGTGTGAAGTAGAAACATATTACACATATGGAGAGCAGTTTTATGGAATAAAAACAATCTATGTGTGGCATAACTGACATTGTCTTTATATTTTTGGGGGGGTGTGTGAGGACGGAGTCTCACTCTGTCGCCAGGCTGGAGTGCAGTGGCACAATCTTGGCTCACTGCAATCTCCACCTCCTTGGTTCAAGCAATTCTCCTGCTGCAGCCTCCTGAGTAGCTGGGATTACAGGTGCCTGCTGCCATGCCCAGCTAATTTTTGTATTTTTAGTAGAGACGGAGTTTCACCATGTTGTCGAGGATGGTTTCAATCTCCTGAATTCATGATCCTCCTGCCTCGGCCTCTCAAACTGCTGGGATTACAGGCGTGAACCACCTTGCCTGGCCTATAAATAATTTTTAAAACAGATACAGAATATATAGATAGCTTAACAATTATAAAATTGTATTTATCAAGTAGGTCACGAGGTAAACATTTTACGCTATGCAAAAGGGAGCAAACCTCTGAATTTGTCATGCAGGGTCACTAGTGGAACTCACAGCAACAGGTCTGATAAAGCAGAGGAGGGAACCGGGCTTCCGTGTGCTTTAGAGAGAGTGAAACATGAGGAGTCACAGGCAGAGAAAACTGTTTTTCAGAAAGAAAAGAAAGGGGACATGACAGCCCAGCAGTAGGGTGAAGAGGGCCTCTCCGTGGGTGCCGCTGGCTTGAGCTGCTGTAAGTGGCTGTGCCGGGAACAGAGGATCTGTATAGGAGAATGGGGAAGGGAGTGCTGGAACCGGGGGTGGGCAGGAGCAGCAGTCTGGAGACCAGAATGACCTAGGGTTTCCTCTCATGCTCCCATTCCCAGTGTTTCACGTGTGTAAAGTAGCAAGCATGCATATACTGCTTAGAGGCATCTACACTTAACATACTACACTCATATACAACACTTGCATCGTACAAAGTACACATAGTAGGTGTGGCATGTAATAAGTTACCCTCCTATATTTTCTTCTAAAAGATTTTTAAATATTTGCATCTCAAATTTAAGTCCTTTGTCCATTTAGATCTGGCCTTTGTGTGATAGCGATCCATTTTTGGGATAGAGATCCATTCTGATATTTTCCCATATGGATACCAACTGCTCATACCATGGATTATATAGACCCTTTCTGACTGTTCTGTAATGTTAGCCAGGGCATACATCAAGATTTCACACAAGCATACACTTTCACAATAGCAATTCCTGCTGTGGTAATTATAACTTCACAGTAAATCTGGTACGTGATAGACTCACATAAGCTCCACCTCCCACCTTCACACACTTTAGTCTTCTATGGGATTGTCTTAGTTATACTGGGCCCTTTTATCTTCCGTATAAGCTTTGGAAGCAGTTTAGTGACAATGGTACTCTTGTCTTTTTCTTGATTTTAAAAGGAGTGATTTCGATATTTTTAATCACAAAACATGATAGGTGCTGTAGGTTATTTGTTGACTCCTTTTATCAGGTTAAGGAAATTACCCTTTATTCATAGGTGGAAATATCATGAATTATTTAATTTTTGTAAAATAATTTTATAGGCCTTTTGAGACAATCATATAACTTTTGTCTTTAATTCATTGATAAGGAGATGATTTCAGTAGATTTTCTAACATTGAACTAAATTTGTATTACTAACCGAGCTTGTTCATGGTTTTTATACTTTGCTAGGTATACTTCCTAGTATTTTGTTTACAATATTTGTCTCTGTGTGCATGGATGAGGTACACAATAGCAAGGTTACCCTAGTCTCAAATGAATTGAAGAATGGCCTCTTTTTTCTCCCCTCGCAAATAATTAGTGTAACATTGGAACTACTTGTGACATCATCTGGGCATCCTGTTTTCTTTGTAGAATTATTAATTATCAACTCAATTACTTTAATGGTATGATTTCCATCCAGATTTTCTAATTATTTGAGTCAACTTTAATAAGTTAAATGTATCCAAAAATTTGTTAATCTCACTTATTTACAAATGCATATATTTAATTGTCTTATTACTTAATGAAATAGATCATAAATATAAAAGTGTGTGTGTACAGCTTAAGAAGAATATAAAATGAGCATATGTGTCCTTCCTTCAGGTTATGAAATAGAATATTTCCAGTATCTTAGAAACTCCCATTGCCCTTCTACAATGCCACTCACTCCTTCCACAAGAGGTAACCACTATCCCTAACTTCCTGTTAATCATTCCATTGCTTGTCATTACAGACTTGTATATTGTTTAGTTTTGCACATTTGACTTTTTAAATAAGTGAAACTATGTATTGTTTCTTATGATCAGATATGCATACACACAAACATGTATATGTATGTATATATACACACATACACACATTATTTTTAAGAGCAGTTCAAAGTTCACAGCAAAACTGAGCAGCAGGTATAGATTTCCCATATACTCCCTGTCCCCCACACATGCATAGCCTCCCCCATAATAAACATCCCCCACCAGAGTGGTGCATTTGTTACAATTAAAGAACCTACATGATACATCTTATAGTTTGCATTAAGGTTCACACTTGGGCTTGGACAAATTTACAATGACAAGTATTCACTATTAAAATATCATACACGTACTTTCACTGCCTTAAGCATCCTCTGTGCTCTGGTTATTCATCCCTCTCTTCCTCCTAACTCCTGGGAACCACTGATTTTTTTTTCTATTTCTATAGTATTACCTTTTCCAGAAGGTCATAAAGTTGGAAGTGACATACGTAGCCTTTTTAGATTGGCTTCTTTCATTCTGCAATATGCATGTAAGCTTCCACTGTGTCTTTTCATGGCTTGACAGCCATTTATTTTATCATTGAATGGTATTCAGTTGTCTGGATGTAATACAGTTTGTTTAATTATTCACCTACTGAAGGTAATCTTGCTTGTCTCCAAATTTTTGCAATTATAAATAAAACGTCCATAAACATCTGTGTGCAGGTTTCTGTGTGGACATAAGTTTTCAACTCCTTTGGGTATATACCAAGAAACAAGATTGCGGGGTCGTATAATAAGAGTAGATTTAGTTTTCTAAGATGCCACAAAACTATTCTCCATTTTGTATTTCCATCAGCACTGAATGAGAGTTCCTGTTGCT